>NC_000002.12:198398708-198701739 GCF_000001405.40 Homo sapiens
CTCTGTTTCCCGGACAGCTGCCTTTATGTTCTGGCTCTGCTGGACCAAGAAAAGGTATCGGGATCTGACACAAGGAGTGGGATGAGTGACTCCAAATTGGATGTGAGCAAAAATAGGAATTCCTCCACTGTGCAGAAACGTGGATGCTACATTTCCTATAAAACACTGTTATACACCAACCCGTTATTGTGTGAGCTGCAGCAGAAGTGCCCAGAAAACAGAAGCAAGACGTGGCTACTGTTACAGGGGTAAAAAGAAACAGCCATAATTGGTTAAATATTTATTGAGAACCTTTTATATATGCAGAGTTGTAGGAAATAAAAGTGTAAGACCTAGTATCTGCTCATCAAGGATCACATGAGACAATTACAAAATAATCAATGGGTGAGCTGATGCCTGAGCCTGATTTCAGACTGGGAGTCAGGAAGCCCAGTTATTATAGTTCTAGATCCACCTCAAGCTATACAGTCTTAGGAAAGTTGTTCAGAGTTTTGGAGCTCCCATTTGTTTTCTCTTGAGATGGTTAAACTCAATTATGGGAGTATACTCTGACATTGATGTTCTCCTAGCTGTGAATGCTGTAGTTGGCAGACTTTGCATGGCCGAGGGCTTTTTCAGGTGTTGGCTTTAGTGTTACCTCCTTAGTAACTGTCCTGTTTAAGTAAATGCTCCTAATATTTTCTCTAGCTCTATCTGCTGTTCATTTCCCTCGTAACGTTTATCATGATATGTGATTATTTTCTTATTTGCTTCTTGATTTTTGGCTATTTATCTGAAGCCAGGGGACTATGTCCTTTTTGAAAATTTACCAGTTACATACCAGTGACTAGTACAGTGCTTGACACGTTGAAGTGACTCAACAAGTGGCACATAATAGTGGGGTATAGATGCAACAGATACTCAGACAAGCAAGAGCTCCGCAGAGCTACAGGAAGAATCAAAGGATTCATGAGCTTGTCCTTGAAGGATAACAGAGAGGAGGGATGGTGTCCCATGTGTAGAGGAGGGCATGGGCTGTGAGATGAGAGAGAATGGACATGTGGTGTGCAGGGATAAGGAGAAGACCTGCTGGACTGGACTGTGAGGCTATAACAGATTGACTAGGAGGGGCCACAGCAAAAGGAGTTGGGGCCTTAAATGCGACAAACTTGAACACCTTTTTTGGTTCTTAAGAGATGGATGTGGCATGGCTCATAAGATGAAACTGGCATTAGTCAAGAGGGCAAATCGAACAACCTCCTTGTGATAAGATTGTTCTTTTACCTGGCTGATAGGGGACTTAACGAAACTAGCAGGCATATGAGATGCTGGGGATCTCTTTAACATACACTTAATCCAGAGAGATTTTTTTTTCCCCACAGAAACCTCAAATCTAACTTTTAGAGTTCCAAACATGCCATCTTTGCTTTTAAGTGATCTTCAAGCTCTGTATAGGTTATCTGTGCTAATGCTGTTATCTATGAGACTGGTATTAAAATGTTCAGACTGTATACACCTTCCCTCATCATCTCATGGACTCCAGTAATCAGCAGGGCTGCCCTCTTACATAAAGTCAAAACTAGGAGACTAGAAGGAATAAGGTGAGCCATGGCTTCCTTTTCTCTCTCTTTTTTTTTTTTTTTCCGAGACGGAGTCTCGCTCTGTCCCCCAGGCTGGAGTGCAGTGGTGCCATCTCGGCTCACTGCAAGCTCCGCCTCCCGGGTTCACACCATTCTCCTGCCTCAGCCTCCCGAATAGCTGGGACTACAGGCGCCCACCATCACGCCCGGCTAATTTTTTTTTGTATTTTTAGTAGAGACGGGGTTTCACTGTGTTAGCCAGGATGGTCTCGATCTCCTGACCTCGTGATCCATCCGCCTCGGCCTCCCAAAGTGCTGAGATTACAGGCGTGAGCCGCCATGCCTGGCCTCTCTTCTTTATTTAAGAACACATTTTTCAAGCAATATATCAATGTGTAACTTTTGATTTTATAAGGTTGTGGTTATTCATGAGATGTGTTTTATGCAAACTAGAATGAAAAGTAGAGGCTGCCTCCATGTCCCTTTGGCCCTCAGTTTTCTACTTGCTATTCCAAACACCTACCTCAATAGTTCTGTTTACAGAGATTTATAATCCAAATAAGGGTATCTGTGGAGAAAAAGGGGACACTGCTGATAAAAGAAAAGCTGGGCTAATAGTCATAAACCAAGACTGTAATGGGCAACATTAAGCAAATAATTGTCCTTCTAGTATTATACTTTCTCCATGTACTCTGTGGAAATCATATCTATTTTGTTAATTTCTTATTGCTGCTCTAACAAATTGCCACCAACTTAGTGACTGAAAAACCTCAATTTATTCCCTTACAGTTATGGAGATCAGAAATCTGAAACGAGCCTTAGTGGGCTAAATCAAGGTGTGGCAGGGCTGGTTCCTTCTAGACGCTCCAGAGGAGAATCTATTTCCTTGCTATTTTCAGTTTCTAGAAGCCACCTGCGCTCCCTGGTTCACAGCACCCCATCATATCACTGTTCCTTCTCCTGCTTCTATTGTCACATTGCTTCTTCCTCCTTTGATCTCCCTACCTCTCTCTTTTAATGACCGTTGTGATTACCTTTAGAGCCTGCCCAGATAATCCAGGAGAATCTAGGATAACCGCTCTGTCTCAGGGTCCTTAATTTAATCACACCTACAAAGTCCCTTTTGCCATATAAAGTAACATCTCCAGGTTCTGAGGATTTAGGAGCTGTTATTTAGCCTATCACATGTATTATTCTAGGTAACATCTTACAGAAAGCTATGATCTATTCCCCTCTCCAAGTGACCTTTTCCAGTGTTGATTTCTAGTAGCATCCCGCTTGTTCTCTTTTTGGGACACTTGTGTTTTCTTGTGCTGCACTGGGGTTAGTTATGAATCTGCTTTTTCCCCCCTAAAAAGCACAGCGTAAAACACAGGGATACATTTAATGTGGACCCTATCCTCCAGAGACATACAGCTGAGTTAGAGAATTGCTAGAGGTTTAGAGAATATTCATTTCCCTTAATGTTTCTCAGGTAAAGAGAAACTCACTTTTTAGCTGGTCATATTTTATGGCTTTCCCTTGCTCTCATTATAAAGTCCAAAGTCTTTATATTGACCTACAAGGTCCTGCATGATCTGACCTCACTGTCTCTGGTCTCACCCTGCACCACTCCCTCACTCTTACATTTAAGGAATAATGGACTTGTTTTATCGCCTCAGATGTTTTCAAGATCTTTTTCTTTCTCATATCTGTCCTTCTGCCCTCTGTTCCACTGTAGGTGTATGTGTATAGGTGGATCTGTCAAAACACACCACACACACACACACACACACACACACACACACACACACGCATGCACATACACACTACCTGAACATTTCTTCTTCAACCTTGAGGTATCTAGCACTCATGTACACAAACCTTTCCTGATCCTTCAATTATTTTGAGTATACTTCTTATACACTGCTTTTGCAATCTGTACACCTCCCTTAACATCTCTTTGTACAATGGTAATTAATTTGTCATCATTTATGTGTCCTTATTCCTTCCCTTCCCTGCTAAACTGAAAACTTGTCTAGGGAAACTGTCTGTGTTGTTCACCTTGATCTCTAGCATGATGCTTGACATATGGAAGAAGGGACTCAGTAAATATTTCCTGATTAATATTCTGCCACAAAGACTCTCACTTTGTGGATAATTACCTCAATATCTGCTTATTCAATTGACTGCAAGAGAAATTATATTTTTTCTTTTTTATTAAAAGAGCCTAGAAAAATTTTGTAACTTTTAAGATACTGAAAAACTGTTGCCGTATGTATTAACAAGAAACCTGCCCCACCTCTGAGTATTCCTGTTGTCCCACCTCTGAATCCAAGAGGAAAGCAGTAATGGTATAAGCCTAGGGTAGGAGTAATTTTAAGAAATCTAACCATGGTCCAGGCTTATTCCAGAATAGAAGATAATCATAAAGTTTGCAAATTTGTTCTATGTGTTTTGATGATTTTCATTTACATAAACGTAAATACAAATTCGAGTCCATGAAGGTACCTAACTGACCTTTTTGACCCACTGGGAGGGGTCACCCCAGGTGTGTACCAGGCTCATCCTATACCTGTAATGTATTACATCTTTAAAGAAAGCCGGATATTTTTCTGCCTAGTAATTGTCAACCTTATTCTGCTATTAACCAGTTTTTCTTTTGTCTGTTCACATCATACCATACTCAAAGTGTTTCCTGTTTTATTACACAAATTTCATTCTTTCTCAGTGTTAAATATGTGTGCTTTTGCTATAGTTGCCAAAACCAGGCATGTGCTAGTATCATATCTCTCTTTCTAGTAGATAGTTCTTTAAATGTAGAGAACTATTCATGTTCAGCTTCACAGAGACTCTAACAAGGGTCTATTCTGCTTTCTGAACCTTTCTGGGTTGTAACAATGTGTGCCATATGGCCTCAACAAACACTCCTTTGCAATGCCTAATTTTTTTGCAGCCAGCTTTCCCTCTTGAATGTATGTACTCGATGTGATTTTGCATATGCTTCTTTTATATAATGATCCAGATTCTTTGCTCTTCTGTTATATTATTTCACCATTGCTTCAAGGTCTTTAGCTTAAGCAAAAGATGACAGTGTCATCTACATATTTGAGGGGTCTCCAGTCCTTGAGTCCTTCTCTTTATCTGTAGAAACCTTGAAAGTTTTCTCAAGGCAGGAGGTGAAGAGTCTTAGTGAGATACCATCTATTAATTCTACACTACAAACTAACCTTTACCACCCAATTTTCGAGTTAAATGTAAGTGTATCATTTGTGAAGATATGTTTGGGGCACTTACCATGTGGATCTTCTATTGCTTCTTTTGTTCTTTCAACAAAGCATCAGTTTCCATTAAGTCAAAATTCTTTTCAAGTCCCACAAAAGCCATACAAAACAACTTGTTTATTGTCTATTGTTCAGCCTGCTCTGCAGTTTGAAAGCAAATAAAAAATAATGCCCACTTTAACTACCCATACATGGTGGGTTATATCAGTTGTTACATGCTTGTTTATTGTCTATAAAAAGGTGTCTCTCTAATTGAACTTCTGGACCACCGATAATATTAATCAAATGATTAATTAAGAAGCAGCAATCTTGAAGGAATAAACGTCAGCTAAGGAAATGGCCACGCTTTCAAATTGATTCAGCCAACACTGTCACCCCATTCAAAGTGCAAGCAGAAGAAAATAAAAAATAATAAACAGAAGCTATGTAAACGTCAGGATCACAAAACATCCCCACAAAATGCAGATAAAACTCGTGTCCAGGTGGACTCTGTGTACACACAGTCTCACACATTTGTTAGTTTCTCTCTGGGTCAGAGGATATGTGCAGAGATGCCTTTGCTGTACCTTTTTGTTCCTTCCTCCCTTCCAACCCCTTTCTCTCTGCTTTCCTGCCTTCTTTCTTCTTAAAAAGGGTTATTTATAAAATGGGATTCTATGATGAAGATCTGTATATGGGTGGTTCAAAATGGAATAATAATGAGAGAGGCTGAAGTGCTGTAGAATGCCTTATTTGTTATCTATGGCTGAGGAGCACATTACTCCCAAACCGCAGCTTCAAACAGCAAATATTTACGACCTCACAGTTTCTAGGGGTCACGAATATGGGTCCAGCTTAGCTGGGAGCTCCTGACTCAGTTCTCTCATGAGATGGTAGTCATGTTGTTGGCTGGGGCCTCACCTGAGGCTCGCTGGGGCAGGAGGCACAATCCACTTTCTCCACTTTCACATGTCTTCACCTGGTTGTTGGCAGCTTTTGCTTTTTCACCAGGTGGGCCTCTCCACAGGGCTGTCTCATGATGTGGCAGCTGATGTCCCCTGGGGTGAGTGTTCCAAGAAACAGTATGAGAGAGAACCCAAAATGGAAGTCACATATCTCAGAAATGACACTTTTTCACATTTGCCATATTCTATTCATTAAAAGTGACTCAATCAATTTGACCATATTCAAGGAGAGGGTTGCACAAGGGCATGAATATCAGGAGGTAGGGATTAGATAGAGTCATTTTAGAGGCTGCTACCAAATGTCCAAAGGCTTCTGCCTCCTCCTCTCTTCTTCCCCTTCAAATAGAATGTAAATTTATATATTTCCTGCAGTTAAATGCAGAAGCAATCATTTGCTCTTGTTTTGACATATTTATTAATATAGTGACTTTCATGGGGAGATGCCCTTTTCTTCCTAATCCCTACCCCTCTTCATCTCTTCTTATTGAAATACTACCTACCCATCAGTTTGGCTTATCTAATATACTTCTGTTATTTATTGATCGGTATATTCCTAGTGTCTAGCATAGTGTCTTCTGACACCCAACTGATACTCAATAATATTTGTTAAATAAACAAAATATGCCAACTCCCTTGAGTCATTATCAACAACCTCTTCCAGTCATGGGCTCTCCTTCCCATAAATCTCCTTGCATTTAGAGAGGCAGTATGGTTAAATGCCCAGTCTCTAGAGACAGAAATACTAACTTCCTTTCCTAATAGTGTCCTTTGGGAAGCTACCTAAATTTTCTGTGCCTCAGTCTTCACTGTAAGTGGTGGTAGGATTGTTCTAAGAGGAAGAGTAACACATATAAAGCTTAGTGTATTTCCACATGGCTGACACTTATTATTTACTATATTACCTCTCATTATATGGGTATTTCTCATCATTACTCAATTATTTTCAATGTACTTCTCTTATGAAATCTTGCATTATTGTGGTTTATACATCATTTTATCCCAACAAATAGAATATGTCAGAACTATTACAGTGAAATTGCTCATCCATCTCCCTTTTCTACACTGCAAAACTGAGACATGTCTGATTTGTCTTGGTCTCCCCAGTGCAGGACTGACACACAATTACTTTTTAACATACATTTTTGTACTTCAGACAAATTATGAGTAGAAATGGTGGCTTGTAATATAATTTTTTTTGTAAAACCCTTAAGACTGTTGTAGTGCAGTGCCTTTTGTAAAGATGCTTGATATTATTTTTTTGAAGTTTTTGGAATTAAGTTGAAATCTTGTCCCTTTACTTCTTCCTAACCCTAATTTTCCTTTCCTGCACTCATAATGGATTAACACAGTAAATCCAGACCTGCCATATATTATTTTAAGCTGCCATGAATACTTTTTAAACCAAGGTAGGGTATGCCTAAATAAATGAAACTAATTCATCATGTATATCTTTGATTTCAATTCCTTATTTACCTTGGAACATTTCCTTTTCCCCCATAATCTCAAGAACACATCATTAGGATTATTTTTCACTATTTTATTAACCCCAAATACTTAATTATAGTTATTTTAATTATAGTTATAGTTAACTTAATTATAGTTATAGATAATGGTTGAATATTAGTGAGTATGGTGATAAACTATGGAAATGCTGCTCCAAACAGATACAAACAAGGGTAAGAATGTATGGTGTATTAATATTTTCCATAAGAGGTTTCTCTGAATCTATTTTTTCATGCAAAAATTATGTTGAAACTATACTGGGAGAACGAGAGCCTCCAGGGGCTCGTAGATGATGTTAGTCTTGATTATGCATATAATAAGCTAAAACTTTAGAGAATTCAAAAATATAACCAGGATAAAACAAGAAAACATTCAACTATTTCCAGTGTTTTAAAATGAAAAGAGAAAATGGCGGCTAAATAAAAACTAAACTATTCATTTTATTATAAGTACAAGCTACAGAGCCTGGTTAGATGCTGCATTTAGAAATTGTTTAGAAGTTGAATTCATTAAAATATTTCATAGTGCAAAGTTAGTATTGCTTCAAAAGGGAGTTCCAATGAAAATTCAAACAAGAGACATGCCTAGGTGTTCAAGAATGTGGGACCAAGTTTTAAAATAACTTATTTTACTAAAATGTAAAGTATAAATTTCTCATTTGGAGTCAGTTTCTACCAGCTGTCTTGTAAGTATTTATGATTATAGCATAAAGAAAGCTAGAAATGAATAAAGTAGCATGATTCACTTTCTATATCTCAAAGATTATAGACTTCCATTTGAGGTTTGTATTAGAGACACATTTTACTTTTGATCGTTGTGAACATGTGCAGACTTACAATTAAAATTTTGAAAGATGTTGGTGATATGTGAAAGTGGGAAAAATGGTACAATGATGCCTGCTTTTTTAGCGCTAGGAAAACCATATCCTTAACTGTTCTAATTTATACAAAGAGAGTCTGAAATCTCCCATCAGAGTCATTCCAAGACTATTTTGAGTCAGTGTAGTTAGTATTGTCCAAGTGTTCCAATATCCTTGAGTCAAATTGACATTATTGGATCCCAAAGCAGCTAAAGAAAAGGACGTGTAAAACCTTACCAAAAAAGTGAGTATAGGAAATTGATGCTAAATAAAACTTACAATAAATTAATTACCAATATAGAAAGATAAGAGAAAAAAATATTTATGTGAAGCTTCTATAGTTTGGTCCTAAGCTATAACATCAACTGAGGGAAGTGTGTTTACAGTCTTTTACTCAGCAATTTAAAAACTGCAGCTTCTTAATTCTGCCTGTCCAAGTTTCACTGTGGTACCACAATATGCTTTTCCTATCAAATCGTATTCACACTATGCCCTATTTCCTTAGGGATCATCACAGCATTAGGTGAGAAATTATGAAAAGGGATCAATTAATTCCACAATGTTAGCACCTTCAGGAAATTAAAATACTTATCCATTAAAAGGATACTTTAGAAATGATGTTTATGCTGGAAATTCCTGACCCTGTAACAAGATCGAGGGAATCTTTCTTTACTTTTCTGGAAATTGAGCCTGAGCTACTGAAGGCTTCCCTGTCTTACAGCACTATTGAGGGAGAGGGTCAGAAATGAAAAAATATTGGTTTTTAGAAAAATGCAGTATTTTGAATGCTTACAAGAGAATTTTAAGTTTCTTGTTGTTTTTGGGAGTTAGGATGTTAGTGACATGAATAAAACACTATTCCTTTTATTCAGTAGTTTTGACTTCATGTAATTTAGTATAATCACTATTAGATAATCCAACATCATGTACTGGACTATCTTAAATGGAATGATATATGAAGTATAATCAAAATTATGCTTGAAAATACAATATGGGCTCTAAACTTGCTTCATTCTGCATTGCTTCTAGTTTGAATTTAATTTTTGAGTGTAATAATCCAATATTTGGATTGTCCTAAGTATGCACAGTCAGAAAGGGTGATATTTTTAAAGAGAAATAGTTTTCATCAAGTCCTCAGGCTTATATTAGGAATGTTAAGAAACATAAAAGATATTGTGAGTTGCAAATTGACAGTCTAATTAATAGGGTCTTTCCTGCCAGCTGATGTTAAATTCTAGGCACTAGAATTTTTCTTTGCTTCTATTTGGCTTTTGGTTAAAAGCTGGAACCAAGATGGTGTAGAAACACCAGTTTTTCCTGATCTCTTGTTTCAGTTATTGTAGAAATAGCAAAATATTTTAAAAGTTATAACATTTCATGTATTAGATATTTTAAGTATCAGATATAGATCAAACTATTTGTGGGGGAATGATTTGCACTCATTTAAAATTTCACCCCAGCGAGCCCAGAGGGGTGATGCCCAACATTCCTCTGCCTGTAGTTGCTGCCTAAGTGACACTTCTGAAGCAACACTTCGGGGAGCCGACGGCTGCTCGCAGCTGTTCCTTTTCACTCTTACTGGCTCCCAGATGCCATTGCAAAAAGAAATAACCTCAGTTCGGATTAATTTATGTTTTGATCAGAATCTCAATTTGGCCCCTGAGATACAAGAATTTCCAAGTTATTGGTTGAAGCTGGGCATCACAGAGTTTTCCACTTCTGTGAGGAGAACAGGGAGGTAATGGGAAAGTGCGTGGAGTTTGTAGCCACGGGCTTGGATCACTAACTGTAAACAGGTTAACCACTTGGAGCTTCAGTGTTTTCATCTGTAAAATGGAAATTTGAGATAATAATATGCTCCTCATAGGGTTGCAGAGAGGAGTAAATTAGGTGATAGATGAAAAATACCTAGTCCAGGCTTAGTTCATTGTAGGCATTCAATACTCTTTTATTCTTCATTTCCTCTAAGATCTCTTGAGAATCAGTTTAATTCACTGTGGGAGCCCTTGGTTTGGTATCCTTTTCTCCTGCATCTTTGTGCCTTTCTTCCCAGGTAGTAATATAAATGGCACTCTAAACATTTAGTAAATTCGAGTAAACTGACACTAATCCTGAAACAAAATCTGGGCTTTCTGGAAAATACAACTTTTTTTTTTTTTTCCTGACTCTAAAATAAATTCATGTTGGGTATAAAAATTTTTAAATTCAAAAAGTTATACAAACTGAAATAAAAAGTACAGTACTTATAATTTCCCTACCCCAAATTAACAACTGATAATATTTTGGTAGTTTTCCTTCATATCTGTATTTTGATGTCTGTATATATATAAATATATATGTGTAAATCAAATCTCTCTTTACAGGCATGTATTCACATATATGTATGTAAGTGTGTATATATATGTGAATATATATACATATATAGGTTTGTATATGTATACATATATAGGTTTGTGTATACATATACAAAACAAGGGTTGAGTATATATTGTCCTGTTTCATAGCTTTTTAATTTAATATTCTATTGTGACCATTTCCTGTGTCATTAAATATTCTTCAGAGTAGATTTTTTACTGGGTGATAATATTGCATCATATGGCTGGGCTATCATTTATTTGCTTTTTTTCGTATTAGTGCCATTTAGGTTAATTCCAGTATTTTGTGCTATTAGTAGTAATGGTATACTAAGCATCTTTTCATGTAAATCCTCATGTATCATTCTTATATCTTCTTAAAGAAAATTCTAAAAGTAGGATTGTTGGGTCAGAAGAAATGGACAATTTAAGGCTGTAAAACATATTGACAATTTGCCTCTAAGAAGCAAAGATTGTGTAATATTAACTTACATTATCATCAACAGAGTATGAGAGTGCCTAGTTTCCTAAAATGCTCATTGACACAGGATATTTTAAATAAATATTGAAAATGTGATGGCGACAATGGGGGAGGTATAATTTTTTTTAGGTGAAAAAGTGGTATGTTGTTAGCATACATGAGAGATGTTGATTTGTGAATTCACAATTAGTTTGGAAAAGATGTTTAATTTTATTATACTTAGGTTCTTTTTATTATATTATATCCTTAGATTTCTAGGAGTAAATAGATACTGAGTTTTACTAAGTATTTGTTCAACCTCTATTAAGATGTTTTGTCTCCCTTTACTTCTTAAAATATATGTTAATATTTCCTTACAATTAGTTTATGTCTATTGAAACTGTAGTGCAGAAGCTGTAAGTTCCTTAAGGGTCTTGCACAGTTGGGTTCTTATCAAATGGAGTTTCTACTTATCAAATTTAAGCTTCATTCTCTGAATATTCAAATACATTTTTCAACTGCCTTCAGAGGAGAAACTGAGACTGTGAAAGGATGATGATACAACTGAAAATCTAATTCTAATCTTTTGAAATATAAAATTGTGATTCAAAGAGCAGTGGTCCAGTGGTTATAAATATAGGCCATGTTATAATACCAGGAAGACATGAAAACATACCCGAGGTTGGCCCCACCCCACATTAGCTGAGAATGTACAGTAGGGCTGAGATGTTGGTAGTGTTTTCAAAGCCTCCCGGCTGATTCCAATGAACAATGAGGGTTAAAAAACTATTAAGGAAATTGGATGCAGGTTCAATCTCTAAATCTGCCCCTACTCAGCTGTAGCATCTTAGACAAATAGCCTATAATGCTTGGGCCTTCAGAGAAGTAAGCGGGGTAACTAGCTGTTGAAATTTAAGCTCTCTACCTGTTGTAGAGTAAGCCAAAGCTTCTACGATGCATGAACGTCCCCAGCCTGATGGTATTAGGAAGAAATGTTAACATCACAGGTACATGTCGATATATTTGATAGAGCATGTAAGTGTGGTTTATATACAGAATATATCATTTGAAATTAAAATAGAGGAAGTTTTAAGTGATTTCACTTCAGGGTCCTTGCTAAAGGCCGGGTAACGCTGCCAGTTCTTCTGTGAGAATTACAGATTAGCAAAGTGAGAATTGTAGCAGTTTGGCTGTAAAGATATTAAAAAGTCTAGTAAGTTTAAGTTATTTTCACTCCAGGAAAACTATAATCATTTGAAAGACCGAAGAACAAGAATGAAATTTAAAATAAGATTACATATTCACAAAGCACTGTGTTGCTTTGTAGAGAGACATTGATGATTTTTTACCTGCATTTTCATTGTACTAACGGGCTAATATCTTCATATTAAGAACAACTTGCAGTAGCTACTGTGAATACTTTAAACCTGTAAGATTAAAAACATTTGCTTGACTGACATTTTTGTTATTGTAAGGAAATCATCTCATTTCATGCTAAGGGTAACTTCTGCTATATTGAAATGTAAATATATTACTGGACATAAATGTTCAAATGTCACTGAGCATCCTCTCTGTTTAGCTCTCAAGATAGGAGCAAATACAATTACTCTTAATTGTTTGCATAGAAATTCTAGAATTGAAAGTTTGCTGACCAAACTACTCAAAAGGAAACACACTGTAACATAGCATTTCTAAGTGGAGCCTTAACAAAAAATACTAGCAGTTAAAAAGTGTCTGTGTGTCTGAATTTATAAGTGTGGATTTGAGTTGATGTGAATTTCCATGGCCTTATTAATCTTTGTAGATGTGCATCGTTATTAACTTTTTATGCAACAACTGTTCCTGTGTTGAGTGCAAACAATGTAAGAGGTGGAGACACCATACATGGCAGGCACGGATTTCTTGATCCCACTCTTAAAGGGACGCTTGTGGGGAAAGTAGCATAAAAGATAGAAGAACCCAGCTTCCTCATGAAATTTAAATTGTATACATTCGTAAGCTAAAATTACTGCTTTTAGCTCTCCTGTTTTACCGGTGCATTTTCTAAACTAGGGCAAGTAAAAACTAAAATTCATAATTTATAAACAATGTGGAAAAATTAGTGAATTATTTACAACACTTTTGAAAAATGTGTTCATATGTTATACAAAAATTAGCTACTCTGTTAATCACAGTGGTGCCACAAATATGCTGGAAATTAGGACTTCCAATGTAAGTTTGGAATAAATACTCCTGTAACTCAATCTGTGATTGGAAAACCAAACCGATCCTGAATGGTCTATTTAAACAAGTGCCAATTATTGAATAATTCTCTGACCTACACAGAAAGTTATTGTATATGGAAAGATTTTTTTCCTTAGAGTGCTTTATTCCAGATGCCCTTTTAAATTGTTTTTAATTCTCTGTGGGCAGTAGATAACTAAACCTACAGAATGTAGTAATGGCAAGGAGGAAACAATCACGTTGGCCACTTCTGGTTAAGAGTCATAGAAAAGGCATCTGTTATATATGAATTGCAGACTAGAAGGACTTTGACAGTTCATAGACCAGACCTAATTTATTAAACTAAGTTTCTAATATAAACAGTAATTTGTTTCAGGCACTGACACTGCAGGTCTGGATTATGTGAACCAGATATAAAGAACTGTATTTCCTTTTTGGAAAGTGTAGGTCTTTCGAACACTGAAAGAAAATAATCTAATATGTCATAATTGTAAATATGATGAAGATGGCCCGCCTTCCTGAGCATGGGCTGATTCACACTCTGCATTTTAAATTTTCCAGAAGTTATTTTAAAAGTACTGAGGCATGGCTTATGAACTTCAAAGCACACCTGTGCATAATCCAAATGGATGAGAAAATGGTGAGGCTACTCGAAGAGGTTCAAGCTTTCAAGCACTTTAATCTGAGGTATATTTTAGTTTAAGTCATTGGTGAAAACATTCTCACTATAAAATCAACTGTTTGATTAGAACAATATGAAGATTCCATTACTCTGTTGCATTATATTATAGACAAAGTTTGATGGAACAGGAATCTGGTATTTACATATTAAAATACTCTGGACATTTGAAAAGGAATATGTACTAAATGTAGGTTCATTTCGAGACTTTTTAAGGTGTGTTTTAATTAGGCCGAGTAAAATGTAGTTAGATTTTTAAGTGGATATATACTTTGTTGTTTGTGAAACACTAACATGTATTCTCACATACACCTAGTACCCATTCTTAAATTATTTATATGCTGCAAATTCCTACGTAAAGCAAGAAAGAATCTACAAGTTCTTACTTTGTTGTTGTTCTGAAGAGAGGTATATTGGTTAGGATGATTTTGGCCACACATAACTCGTTCTAAAATGTGGTAAAGCATAAAGGGCATTTTATTATCCTACATAACAAGAAGTAAAGTGGATGGCAGGCACCTCCTTGACTGGTTGATCCAATGTCTCAATGCTTAATTCACTGGCTTTCTCCTTGAGTCCTCACTCAACATTATCCAAACGCATGACAGGGAGAGGTTCTGCCATGTATCACTCTGCAAAGAAGAAGAAAACTTTCCCTGAAATCTTAGATGAAGTTTATCAAATATACCTTTATGACTCATTGGTCAGCAGTTGGGAAATGTAGCTATACCTATGTTGACTATAGCCAGGAGAATGGAATTCCTTGATGGGTTTAAACTAAAGAACATACCACCTTCCACCATGAGGGATAAGGCTTTCTTTACTTTTCTTTTTAAAGACAGGGTCTGGCTCTGTTTTCCAGGCTGGAGTGCAGTGGCTCTATCACAGCTCACTACAACCTCTGCCTCCTGGGCTCAAGCAATCCTACTGCTTCAGCCTCCTGAGTAGCTGGGACTACAGGTACATGCCACCATGCCCTGCTAATTTTTGTATTTATTTTTTTGTAGAGAGAGGGTTTTGCCATGTTGTTCAGGCTGGTGTCAAACTCCCGGGCTGAAGCAAGCCGCCTGCCTTGGTCTTCCAAAGTACTGGAATTATAGGCGTGAGCCACCGTGTCCAGCCAGCTTTCTGATATCTAAACAAAGTCAGAGTACATTTAGCAAGGAAAAAGTGGGAAATTACCATTTGGTAGGCAACCAGCAATGTCTGCCAAAGGTAGGAATAAGAAATAGTATTAATCTATTAGTAACACCTGAACAATAGATGTTAAGCATACAAGGAAAATCTACACAATATTATGTTATTACCCAGACAAGTCGGCTTTATCTTTCCATGACACATCTTATATAATGTAAATAAAAATATTTATAGCATAATAAATTTATGATAAGGTAAAATCCAATAGAAGCTGTGAAATAAAAGTAGACTGAAACATTTAGATTATTTTTGTTGAGCTGACTATGCTGGTTAGTCACAAATAGGGTTAGTTTTCTCAAGCCATTTTGGCTTATGCAACTCTGATTTGACAAGTTATTGACTAAATACATCCAGTCAATGGATTGTTTTCATGTTTCAGAGAGACAATCTGAATTGTCCTCCTACCTACTCATCAAAGGCAATGTTACCTTGGTGTGGAGAAAATGAGAGAAACATGAGGGGGGGGTCTGGGTCAGGGGAGGAAACAGTGAATATGATATAGATGGAACCAATTGTTGGGCACCGTGACTTATTTAGTGTTCCTCTCTTTTACTATATTGAGTGATAGGTACTTTCATTCTTGCTTGTAACATAATTTAAGTAGCTTTCATTTTTTAAAGTTAGACTCTTAACATATAGCTTGAAAATATAATATATTGAATAGTCTTAAAAATACGTTGTCTTCTTAGTATGTGGCTTGTCCTTATTGAGAATGACATTGACCCATTTGAAGTGATGATTTGCTACCACATTTTAGTATTTTGGAATAATAGCTTCATAAAATTGTCTTCTTTGGTCAATAAATGTTGAAGCCCTACTAGAACTACAAGGAGCAGTACTAATCCTGAGCACACTCCTTCTACGGTTTGAATGTTTGTTCCCTCTGTAATTCATGTCCAAATTTAATCCCCAGTGTGGCAGTATTGAGAGGTGGGGCCTTTAAGAGGTGATTGGGTTATGAGGGCTCTGCCTTCATCGCTAGATCAATGGATAAATGGATTAATAGGTTATCCAGGAGTGAGACTGGGGGCTTTATAAGAAGAAGAGGGACCTGAGCTAGCACACTCAGCCCCCTTGCCATGCGGCCTCAAGAGTCTGCAGGGAGTCCAGTAAGAAGGCCAGCAGCAGGTGCAGTCCCTCAACCTTGGACTTCTCAGCTTCCATAACTATATGAAATAAATTCCTTTTCTTCATAAATTGCCCAGTTTCAGGTATTCTTGTAAGCAACAGAAAACAGACTAAGACAACTTCTATCTTTGAAAACATTTTAGAGGCGTAATAGAGATTCAGAAATTTTAGAAAAAACTGCTTTACTCATGGACACACTAATTCAGGGTGTATCTTTAAATAGAGAGATGATTTCATGATGAATAGCTGCAACTGTTACCAACCATACTCAAATAGCACTTGCTCCTTCTGTTAAATGTGTAATAGTGGTTCACCTAGCCTTTGGTTTGACTCTGCCCACAAATGGGCTGTGTCCATGAAGTATGGTGTACCAAGTGAGAAGACTGAAAAACATACAAACAACGAAGAAAACCAAACCCAGTCTTATTTCATAGCTGCATAAGTTTTGGGATTTAGATGTGCACATTTACATAATGCAGGCAATTACTTGGGGAAGGCACATTAATTGCACATAGGTTCATAGCTCTTAAGACTAAAATTTGCTCTGTAGGGGTTATTACTCCTTTTTGTTTATGATAGCTTGTTTCTTTTGAATATAACTTTTTAGTATTGTCTTTGTATTGAAAAATTTGGCATAGTAGTGTCAATGTATAGGAAGGTTAATCTGGGATTTAAATCCGGAGTGGACTTAAAATGAGCTAATCTAAAACACCAGTTTTCTCAGTTGCCTCTCTGTGTGTCTCTTATCCCACCCAACATTCTCCTTCCCTTCAAAAAAGAGAAATAAGTGTTTAGAAAAATCATGTACTTGGAGTTGGATATTTAAGTTCTTCTGGATTTCCCGATTTTTACTTCCACTTTTGCCTTGGTTGGAATAATATAATTTATATGCTTCTGATTCATTCACACTGATTGCCATTTTGGACAAGACAGTGCTTCAGTTTCCTCATCTGTAGCAGTAAAATTTTGTGATTCTTAGAAGTTTGGATTCCTATTTATTGACTCAGGATCTTTGTTTTACATGATATAACACCTAGACTCAGAGGAATTTTTCACATTTCAATGGAAGGATTTCAATTACAGATTCATTTTTACTACTAAGTAGCTATATTGCTGCTTAATCCATGGAATTAGGTACACCAGTCCTGAATGTAGGTTGCTAATTAGAATAGCTTATTTCAGATATAGAGTTTTCTGTAACCAAGATATTGCAGATGTAGAATCACACCTGCAAAGAAAAAAAAAAAGAATTTGAAAATATTCTGTGCATGTGTTTAGCAGTGAATTTGGTTAAAAATAAGTAAATTCTATAAATTCACGATGGCTTTCTTATATTAGAATGCTTTTTATTTGAGTCTCTCTTTGCCACAGTGTTATTTCTGGTTTCAGTGTAAAACTTTAAAAGGAATTTTGAAAGTTTGGTGTTTGCATTGCTTGCTTCCTTTGAGAAAGGCAAAAGCAAAATGAGCTAATTTTTTAGGATTATAAAAAAGTTGTGTCTTTTGTAAGTTAAATAAGCCTTTAACACATACAAGCTTTTAAAATGTATCCATTTTAGCTTGGTATTTAAAAGAATTTCCATTTAATTTTCAGACGTTATCTTTTTAAAATAAGAGAATAAAAAGTAGATACAAGTGTATTTTTAAGACCGTATGATTTTTTTCCCTTCATCTCATATAAAATGAAAAATCGTTATTGCCCATTGGTTGTTGCTTAGAACATGGAATGCAATCAACCTCAATGTGACTTTTTATCTGTGATTGTGTGCAACCAAGGGGGGTCTTAATTGGATTTTAATTGATTATTAACTTTTTGGTAGGACATAGAAAGCAGGTGTAAATGATAATACAGCAGCTTATTGACAAATTATATTTAAAAGCTCTGGGATTTGTCACATCAAAGAAGAAACTCAAACAGCACATTATAAGCTAGAAAAAGAAAACATTATTCCAAAGGGTCTTTTTATGTAGTATGGAGGGGATTAAATCTGATGTGTTAAATTTTTTAAATAAATCTCCAGATTTGGCTTCAATAAAATTTTGACTTTATTTTCCCCTGATTCTTTTTCCATTCATGTTTTAGTTGGGATAATGTAATTGATGTATTTCTGATTCATTCTTACAATAAACTGTATTTTTCCTTAAATCTATTATCCATGTTAAAAATTACTTTAATAGCTATATTTTTCTTACCAATGGCCATATTTTGTCAGTTAAGAAAGTATTTAACCAGCAAATTGATATGATATGCTAAGTGTTACAGAGTTGCTATCAAGTCACACTACAGTCTGAGTGTAGAAAATTGTAATATGGGCTCATCACTGGTGGGTCTGCTTTTCAACCTCAGTGGTGGAATACCAGGCACAGGTGTGGATTTCAGCACCTTAATCTGTCTCCACCTCACATGATCTCTAGGGTCAAAAGCCTGGGACACTACGTAGTTGCTTTGTGTTTCCTGGAAAGGACCTCGTAAAAGCAGGCCATTTTTTTCTTTATGCATTCTCTGGCCAACTCTTATACTACTTGAACTTGCCCATCCTGTGTACTTGGGACCCTTGGGATGTGTTTCAAATTTATTTTCACAGTGAATTGCTCCCTTACCCCACAGAACATGCTTCCTGAACTCTGGGAACACCACACCGGGAAATACTTTGAGTAAATGGTGGTTATGGAGATGAGAGTGGCATAGGGACTGGTGAGGTTTACTTCTTTGCATAAGATCAGATGTAGGAAGTGGATTATCTTTCTAATTTTTAATGCTATTCCCAAGAGGTATAGCTTATAAGATGACATTACATTTATTGTAAATTAAAAAATGGAATAGGAAGAATAAAGAAAATTTTGGCTCTGTATCTTTTTGCTTATGCATTAATATTTTGTAACTGGTGTCTCTGAAATCTTTGAAAGCAACCAATGTGGCAGTTATCTTCTGGAAAGAGGAGAGGGAGAGGAATATGACCTTATAAGAGTAATGACAATGAGCACAATTCTTCCCTGCTTGGAGTGAGACAGATGGCTGTTTTGGTTGCTCCAAAGCAGAGAAGAAAGGCTTAATTTTCCCCACTGCATTAAACATAGGGAAGAAGACAGGAGTGGAAAATAACCAAGTTATAATATTGATGGATTCTAACCCCTACTCCAACAATGAATTTTCCTGGGCCCATGCCCAGAACACTGCAAACACTATAACAGTGGTATAATAGTTTCTACACATAGACCCAGCATCTCTCATGCTCCTGGCACTTACGTATCCAGTACACCTAAAGTTCGGGGTCAGCAAATTCAAATGCCCCCAAGGGTCCAAGCAGTTAATTTGAGTCATGTCTTGGGTGCGAACTGTGGCCATGTGGGGAACACAAGCCATTTCTTAACTGGATTCCGATGACAGCCATTTTTTTTTTTTGCCAAATAGGAATATAAGCCTACTGTTACCAGATATTCCAGTTTTCAAGGGAAACCACAAGTTTGGATTTTCATGCAAAAGATGGACATTTTAATGTGAAATCTAACAATTTTTAAATGTTGGCAACCGAATACAATTTAAAAAAAAAAAAACGATAAAAAGGACTCACCTATCAGATTGGAGCAGTGAGTTTGATATATCAGACATATGTATAGTCTTGGCTGCTAGCAGTGCTAATAATAGTAGTAACCAATGTTATTCTCCTAATGTGCAATTTGTGCCCTGCTGAGAGGGAGAAGTATAATCATAGGCATATTCACTAAGGCAACCTATGTGCTTGAAAACATACATGGACAGTTTTTGTTCATATCCATAAAAGGAGATAATTCAACCAAATCTTTTAGATTTTTTTTATTATACTTTAAGTTCCAGGGTACAAGTGCACAACGTGCAGGTTTGTTACGTACGTATACATATGCCATGTTGGTGTGCTGTACCCATTAACTTGTCATTTACATTAGGTATATCTCTTAATGCTATCCCTCCCTCCTCCCCCCATCCCACAACATGCCCCGGTGTGTGATGTTCCCCTTCCTGTGTCCAAGTGTTCTCATTGTTCAATTCCTACCTATGAGTGAGAACATGCGGTGTTTGGTTTTTTGTCCCTGTGATAGTTTGCTGAGAATGATGGCTTCCAGCTTCATCCATGTCCCTACAAAGGACATGAACCCATCCTTTCTTATGGCTGCATAGTATTCCATGGTATGTATGTGCCACATTTTCTTAATCAGTCTATCATTGATGGACATTTGGGTTGGTTCCAAGTCTTTGCTATTGTGAATAGTGCCACAATAAACATACGTGTTCATGTGTCTTTATAGCAGCATGATTTATAATCCTTTGGGTATATAGCCAGTAATGGGATGGCTGGGTCAAATGGTATTTCTAGTTCTAGATCCTTGAGGAATCGCCACACTGTCTTCCACAATGGTTGAACCAGTTTAGACTTTTAATACCCAGAGTTAGCAATAGTAGCTCTTGGTATTTCAGTATATACTTTTATTCATTGAAATATTCGTGTTTTTGTTAGAATAATACCATTATTTGGTATTAATAATCTAAAACTTGAGGCATTTACATTTTAAGGCATACCTGGAATTAATTTTTTTTGTTTGTTTTTTGAAAAAGGGTTCCGCTCTATCACCCAGGCTGGAGTGCAGTGGCACAATCTCAGTTCATTGCAACCCCTGCCTCCAGGGCTCAAACAGAGGTTGATCCTCTCATATCAGCCTCCCATGTAGCCGGGATTACAGGTGTGCACCACTATGCCTGGCTAATTTTTGTATATATATATATTTTTGTGTGTGTCGGGGGGTAAAAACGGAGTTTTACCATGTTGTCCAGGCTGGTCTTAAACTTCTGGGCTCAAGCAGTCTGCTCACCTCAACCTCCTAAAGTGATGGGATTACAGGCATGAGCCACCGTGCCCAGCTGAAATTTTTTGAATCAAATAAAGTCTAGAAAGTGTTTTTCTGTATTGCCATAACCCTGATAAGAAGGAAAAAATATGACAATTATTGAAAACCTTTTGTAACAAAATGTATACAGTCACACTCTACTTCAAAGATTTTCTAAACAACTAGCATATGTGACTCCATTAAATTATACAAATAACACTGCATCAAAATCTCTACCTAAGATGATAAAACCATTGACAACAAGGTTAAACTGGAAAAGATTTTTTGTTTGGTGCTAAATTATATCTTGATATTGATAAAATGTTGGCAATAGTAGTACAAGTATTTCAGTATTAAGTAAAATACATAGTGACTATGATACTGTCATTTTGCTTTGTATTACAGTCACTGTGGGCACTAAGTCTGACTACAAGAATAAATGGGGCTGGGCGTGGTGGCTCATGCCTGTAATCCCAGCACTTTGGGAGGCCAGCCAGGTGGATGGATCACTTGAGGTCAGGAGTTAGAGATCAGCCTGGCCAACATGGTGAAACCCTGTCTCTACTAAAAATACAAAAATAAGCTAGGCATGGTGGTGCGTGCCTGTAATCCCAGCTACTCGGGAGGCTGAGGCATGAGAATTGCTTGAACCCAGAAAGCAGAGGTTGCAGTGAGCCAAGATCATGCCACTGCACTCCAGCCTGGGCAACAGAGCAAGACTTTGTCTCAAAAAAAAAAAAAAAAAAAAAAAAAAGAATGGGTACATAATTTACAAGTAAGGTTTAATAGGATACATTAGTAATATGATATTTTTCCTTATTTATCTTTTCTTTCTAGTGATCTTACATACACATATTTCTTCCTAAATAAACTGACAAACTTTCACCTAAATGGCTTATTGAAGATCAATACTCTAATTAGCTTTCCTAAACCTTACTAACATTTTTGCAAATTCTATTTCCCTAGACGTGTTTTCTCATGATCTTCTACCTGAATAATTGAAATACATCTAAAGTGTATTTTTGTATGAATGTGTCTTAATCTCCAGCAGTTGGTTTTCTTCTTGTAATTCACACAAAATTGTCATTTTTCCCCAAAATATTACTTGCTATTTTAGATGATGAGAACAATAGGTGATACCAAACAGTGCTAATATGCTTTGTAAAACTGAAATGAATACAATGAAGGATGCTACTAAAAAGATAGTATTCATTAGGGATAGAATGCCATTTCATTTGTGAGAGTAGAAAAAAAAAAAGGCTAAATCTTGACACAGACAGATTCCAGGCTTTCTAACTGCCATTTGGCTGCTCCATCGCAATGCTCCATACTATCACCTTTGTCTTTGAACTAGAGAGCTCACTCACAGCAGCTTTGCTTAGCTCATGGATGTGTGCTAGCACTTGCTGAAGGGGGACAGAATGTTTGATATTTTTGAATAGATTCCAGTGGTTGTGAATGCTCCATTCTGCTTTTATAGAGGTTATTAAATTTTGTAATATACTTTATGCATCTGCAGTATATTCATGATTTTGCTTAAAAACAATAGCATTGTTTACAGCTGAAGTAGAAAAACTGAGTTCAAAATAAAGAGCTCTTGTTATATAGAATATACAAAGGCAACTACTGCTGTGATTTTTTTTTCCCCTCAAACTTGAAAAACCCGAAGGGTTGCATCTGAATTTTTACAGCAAAGTGATACTGAGCAAAAACTAGGAAACTGCAACCATTTTACTCTATCAGTGCATGAAAGTTACATTAAGTCCAATAGAAGTGTTTAAATAAAAAGAGACAACCTAAATATGCCAGGCCAAATTATCTATTAGCACTGTATTCTTTATATATGCAAATGAAACCCATCTGAAACTATTTGATCTCAGCATTGCTAATAAACAGCCAATGGATCTAATTATTTAACATTTACAATGATATTGTAGGAATAAATTTTCTCATAATAATTTTTATAAACTGTATCCTTTGATCTAAGATCTTTAATGACACTGAAGTAATCATTTGTCATTGTTGGGCAGCCACAAAATATGCAGAGACTGAGCTAGACTGTGTGCAGCTCACCAAGAGTTTATGCCTACTGGGAGTACATGCATTTTGGTTTTGATATATGTGAATGATATATTACAGACACAAACTACTGTGTATTGATGATAGTGTTCTCAGGGAAAAGGTGGGCACCTGTATTACAAAGAGCAGAGATAAATGGTGGCTATTTTTATAGATATAAAGATCTTTCAATTTTCTCAAATGATATTAAAATACACTGCATGAAAATAGCCACTTTATGAATATTTAAAAAAATACTATATGTGTATCCAATCTACTCCTGAGGTGATATACAGGGAAAAATGTTCTGAGGATTTGAAATAAAAAATTATCTTCCTGGCTCTGCCAAATGCTTGATATATGACCTTGGACATGGCGAAGGGCAGTGACAATTACAACAGAAATACCCAGAGTGTTGCAGGTTATATTGTTGCTCTGAAAGGTCAAAGGTTGCTATATCTGGGTAAGTCAGGACAAAAGGAGGCAGCACATTCCACTTGCAGATGAGCATGGAATTGAGGGGAAACAAAATTCCTTGTTTTCTCTAGTTAGAATGGAGGCTTCTGCTTGAAAAGCCCTAACCCTGTATATAAAGTTTGGAAATTTGTTCTATCAGACTTAAAATAAGGGTTTGACCATGTAAATCTCTGAGGTCTCTCTGAGTTCTAAAACTTGATAACCGTCTTTTCCATTTAAATAAATTTCAGGGTTTTTTTTTGGCATTCTACTGTTTATTGGAGCAAACATCAAATGCCATTTTGAAATCTTCCTCTTTTTTGACCAGTCGTGGAGAGGCACTGATTTTTCTTCAGTATCTGTTCTGCAACTTGGTATAGTTATGTCTTAATTCTTTTGCCTGCAGAATGTTCTTATCTCATTTACTTGTATATGTTTTAAGTACTGGATTCTATAAGGTATGTCTGTTTATATTTCCAGGAGTGAATATTTTATTTTATTTTATTTTATTTTATTTTATTTTATTTTATTTTATTTTATTTTATTTTATTTTATTTATTGAGATGGAGTCTCTCCCTGTTGCCCAGGCTGTAGTGCAGTGGCACGATCTCGGCTCACTGCAAGCTCCACCTCCCAGGTTCAAGCGATTCTTCTGCCTCAGCCTCCCAAGTAGCTGGGATTACAAGAGCCTGCCACCACTCCCGGCTAATTTTTTGTATTTTTAGTAGAGACGAGGTTTTACCATGTTAGCCAGAATGGTTTCAATCTCCTGACCTCGTGATCTGCCTGCCTTGGCCTCCCAGAGTGCTGGGATTACAGGCGTGAGCCACCACACTCGGCCGTGAATATTTCATTTAAAATATAATTGTTTTAAATGATTTTTGTAATAGGACTGAAATGTATAAATTTTAATGTTACAAATATAAAATGAATATTTTTGACTGTGAAGAAGGGATGAATGACTGACAAGTTGGTATGTTAGGGTATTTTAAAAGTCATATATTTTAGATGAGTTAGGACTTTACAGAAGTGAAGAAGGTTATATGTTTCTTTTCATTGATAGAATACAACCGTTTAAAATTAATACTTTTGGGCCAGGTGCGGTGGCTCACGCCTGTAATCCCAGCACTTTGGGAGGCCGAGGCGGGTGGATCACGCAGTCCAGAGAGTGAGACCATCCTGGCCAACATGATGAAACCCCATCTCTACTAAAAATACAAAAAATTAGCCAGGTGTGGTGGCAGATGCCTATAATCCCAGCTAGGGAGGCTGAGGCAGGAGGATCACTTGAACCTGGAAGGCGGAGGTTGCAATGAGCCAAGATTGTGCCACTGCACTCCAGCCTGGCAACAGAGTGAGACTGTGTCTCAAAAAAAATAAAAAATAAAAAAATAAAAAAATAAAAAAATAATAAAATAATACTTTCAAGTTCATAGCTTAAGAAGATATGTTTAACTGGAATTAGAAACAATGTTGACAATGTTTTCTGAGATATATCAGGAACAGGGTCTTTTAAAATTATATACTCATTGAGTATTCATTCTGTGGAAAATAATGTGCAGGGAACTAGGGTAGGTAAGATGGGGTGATAGAAAACAGTCAAGGTTAAGATACTGGCTATGGTCAGTGTTTTGAGAGACAATTGAGAATGCTTTATCTCTTTTTTTGCTTATAACTTCTCTCTTCTTTTGTACTTTATAACTGTTTTATTTAGCAAACAGATTCTAGTGGGCATTTTAAAGATACAGTTTATGATACAAGATGTAACATCATAAGACTGACTTTAAAAATAAATGGACTTTTGAATAACTAGAAATTATTAATTACACACACCTAAGTGATATATAAGTAGACATACAGGAAATAGATGGCTTGCTTTGATGATTATTTTCTTTTACAAAACTTACTAATTAAAAGTAGAGTATTCTTAGATCGTTGATGACAAAGTATTAAAGAGGACATTTAATTTTTCTCTTATCCATGTGATATTTGGTGTCCTCTGCAAATCTGGGGTAGAGGGTGTCAGGTATAGATAGAGACTTTTTGATGGAGCATTCAGAAGCATGAACTGCTAATGGAAACTAAACTATGATTCAGAGAGCTTGAGCTTTAGACTTTTCCATTTATATGCCCTTTGATCTAAACTTTTCTGAACTTTTTTCTTTCATAAAAATGGAAATGTTAATTCTCACTTTGCATGTGTCACAACATTGCTGTATATAGATGAATACACAGTGAAATATACATATAAGATGCTATTTGATATTATACTTATATGATAGTGTATAATAGTGTACAATCTGTACAATCAGATGGTGTATTGAATATTCTCTAAAAACTTGTAAAATACTATGTTAAGAGTTATAATGAAGAAATAACTTGTATCTATTTCTCCAGGCATTTTTGACTTGTTAGAAAAATAAATTCATAGGCCAAGTGCGGTGGCTCATGCCTGTAATCCCAGCGCTTTGGGAGGCCGAGACAGGCGGATCACGAGGTCAGGATATTGAAACCATCCTGGCTAACACGGTGAAACCTCATCTCCACTAAAAATGCAAAAACACTAGGTGGGCATGGTGGTGGGCGCCTGTAGTCCCAGCTACTCGGGAGGCTGAGGCAGGAGAATGGCGTAAACCCAAGAGGCAGAGCTTGCAGCAAGCCAAGATCGCGCCACTGCACTCCAGCCTGGGTGACGGAGCGAGACTCCGTCTCAGGAAAAAAAAAAAAAAAAAAAAGAAAAAAAATAAGAGGTTAAAGGAATATTATCTTTTAGAATAGTAAACCATATATTTACTGAACATGGTAATCTGTAATTTTTAATTGTGTTCTGCTGGTAGAATACCAAGAGCTAGGCCTGGCTAATCTGCGTATACAGGTTGTTATAAACCAGATGTAGCTAGACCTAGGGATATGGCATGAGGAAGTCTAGACCATGAGGAAAGGGTAAAAATTTTATCCCTTCCATCCTTAGAGAAATGTGGGAAGAAGAAAAAAAAGTCAAGTAGAATGAGAAAAATCACACAGCAAAGTCTTCATCCCTCTGTCATGAAGCTTAATCTTGCACCAGGGCAAA
This sequence comes from Homo sapiens, assembly GCF_000001405.40. NCBI lineage: Eukaryota > Metazoa > Chordata > Mammalia > Primates > Hominidae > Homo > Homo sapiens. Next base: position 198,425,324 of record NC_000002.12, read on the forward strand.
GAATTGTAGAATCATTTAAACTTCCTTACTCTTGATATGGGAGCAACAAGAGATGGAAGAGGAGATGTCAACTATCCATTAAAAAATATTTTCTGAAGGAGGTTAAATATTAATACAAAGGGCCAGAGTCATATTGTCTCCACTACCTCCTCATCTTATCTTCATCTAACAGGGTAAAGACTTATGAGAAAGATAAATTTGTAACAGAAAAAAGAAATCTAAAGTAATATGAGAAAATGTGTTTCTCTTCTACAAATGTATTTGTTTCATTATTATACCATTTCATGATGTGTTATCTTGTCAGATGTTCCTTTGTTTTTAATATACTTTAAGTTCTGGTGTCACGTGCAGAACATGCAGGTTTGTTACATAGGTATACACGTGTCATGGTGGTTTGATGCACCCATCAACCCATCATCTACATTAGGTATTTCTCCTAATGCTATCCCTCCCCAAGCCCCCCACCCCCTCACAGGCCCTGGTGTGTGATGTTTCCCCTCCCTGTGTCCATGTGTTCTCATTGTTCAACTCCCACTTCTGAGTGAGAACACGCAGTGTTTGGTTTTCTGTTCTTGTGTTAATTTGCTGACAATGATGGTTTCCAGCTTCATCCATGTCCCTGCAAAGGACATGAACTCATCCTTTTTTATGGCTGCATAGTATTCCATGGTGTATATGTGCCACATTTTCTTGATCCAGTCTATCATTGATGGGCATTTGGATTGGTTACAAGTCTTTGCTATGGTGAACAGTGCCACAATAAGCATACTTGTGTATGTTTCTTTATAGTAGAATGATTTATAATCCTTTGTGTATATACCCAGTAATGGGATTGCTGGGTCAAATTGTATTTCTAGTTCTAGATCCTTGAGGAATTGCCACACTGTCTTCCACAATGGTTGAACTAATTTACGCTCCCACCAACATTGTAAAAGCGTTCCTATTTCTCCACATCCTCCCCAGCGTCTGTTTTCTGACTTTTTAATGCTCACCATTCTAACTGGTATGTGATGGTATCTCATTGTGGTTTTGATTTGCATTTTTCTAATGACCAGTGATGATGAGCTTTTTTTCATATGTTTGTTGGCTGCATAAATGTCTTCTTTGGAGAAGTTTGTTCATATCCTTTGCCTACTTTTTGATGGGGTTGTTTGTTTTTTCCTTGTAAAATTAAGTTCTTTGTAGATTCTGGATATTAGCCCTTTGTCAGATGGATAGATTGCAAAAATTTTCTCCCACTCTGCAGGTAGCCTGTTCACTCTGATGATAGTTGCTTTTGCTGTGCAGAAGCTCTTTAGTTTAATTAGATCCCATTTGTTAATTTTGTCTTTTGTTGCCATTGTTTTTGGTGTTTTAGTCATGAAGTCTTTGCCCATGCCTACGTCCTGAATGGTATTGCCTAGGTTTTCTTCTAGGGTTTGTATGGTTTTAGGGTTTACATTTAAGTCTTTAATCCATCTTGAGTTAATTTTTGTATAAGGTGTAACGAAGGGATCCAGTTTCAGCTTTCTGCGTATGGCTAGCCAATTTTCCCAACAGCATTTATTAAATAAGGAATCCTTTCCCCATTTCTTGTTTTTGTCAGGTTTGTCAAAGATCAGATGGTTGTAGGTGTGTGGTGTTATTTCTGAGGCCTCTGTTCTGTTTCATTGGTCTATATATCTGTTTTGGTACCAGTACTGTGCTCTTTTTGTTACTGTAGCCTTGTAGTATAGTTTGAAATCAGGTGGCATGATGCCTCCAGTTTTGTTCTTTTTGCTTAGGATTGTCTTGGCTATGTGCGTTCTTTTTTAGTTTCATATGAAATTTAAAGTTGTTTTTTCCAATTCTGTGAAGGAAGTCAATGGTAGCTTTATGGAGATAGCATTGAATGTATAAATTACTTGGGGCAGTATGGTCATTTTCACGATATTGATTCTTTGTATCCATGAGCATGGAATGTTTTTCTATTTGTTTGTTTCCTCTCTTATTTCCTTGAGCAGTGGTTTGTTGTTCTCCTTGAAAAGGTCCTTCACATCCCTTCTAAGTTGTATTCCTAAGTATTTTATTCTCTTTGTAGCAATTGTGAATGGGAGTTCACTCATGATTTGGATCTCTTTTTGTCTGTTATTGATGTATAGGAACGCTTGTGACTTTTGCACACTAATTTTGTATCCTGAGACTTTGCTGAAGTTGCTTATCAGCTTAAGGAGGTTTTGGGATGAGACGATGGGGTTTTCTACATATATAATCATGTCATCTGGAAATAGAGACAATTTGACTTTCTCTTTTCCTAATTGAATACCCTTTATTTTCTCTTGCCTGATTGCCCTGGCCAGAACTTCCAATACTATGTTGAATAGGAGTGGTGAGAGTGGGCATACTTTTCTTGTGCCGGTTTTCAAAGGGAATGCTTCCAGTTTTGCCTTTTCAGTATGATATTGGCTGTGGGTTTGTCATAAATAGCTCTTATTATTTTGAGATACATTCCTTCAATACCTAGTTTATTGAGTGTTTTTAGCATGAAAGGCTGTTGAATTTTGTTGAAGGCCTTTTCTGTATCTATTGAGATAATTATGTGGTTTTTGTCATTGGTTTTGTTTACGTCATGGATTACATGTATTGATTTGCATATGTTGATCCAGCCTTGCATCCTAGGGCTGAAGCCAACTTGATTGTGGTGGATAAGCTTTTTGATGTGCTACTGGATTCAGTTTGCCAGTATTTTATTGAGGATTTTTGCATCAATGTTTATCAGGGATATTGGCCTGAAATTTTCTTTTGTGTGTGTGTGTCTCTGCCAGGTTTTGGTATCAGGATGATTCTGGCCTCATAAAATGAGTTAGGGAGGATTCCCTTTTTTTCAATTGTTTGAAATAGTTTCAGAAGGAATGGTGCCAGCTCCTCTTTGTACCTCTGGTAGAATTCGGCTGTGAATCCATCTGGTCCTGGACTTTTTTTGTTTGGTAGGCTATTAATTACTGCCTCTATTTCAGAACTTGTTATTGGTCTATTCAGGGATTGGACGTCTTCCTGGTTTAGTCTTGGGGGGGTGTATGTGTCCAGGAATTTATCCATTTATTCTAGATTTTCTAGTTTATTTGCATAGAGGTGTTTATAGTATTCTCTGATGATAGTTTGTATTTCTGTGGGATTGGTGGTGATATCCCCTTTATCATTTTTTATTGCATCTATTTAATTCTTCTCTCTTTTCTTCTTTATTAGTCTGGCTAGCAGTCTATCTATTTTGTTGATCTTTCCAAAAAACCACCTCCTGGATTCACTGATTTTCTTTGAAGGGTTTTCTGTTGCTCTATCTCCTTCAGTTCTACTCTGATCTTAGTTCCTTCTTGTCTTCTGCTAGCTTTTGAATTTGTTTGCTCTTGCTTCTCTAGTTCTTTAAATTGTGATGTTAGGGTATTGAGTTTAGCTCTTTCCTGCTTTCTTTGTGAGCATTTAGTGCTATAAATTTCCCTCTGAACACTGCTTTAAATGTGTCCCAGAGATTCAGGTACATTGTATCTTTGTTCTCAGTGGTTTCAAAGAACATCTTTATTTCTGCCTTAATTTCGTTATTTACCCAGTAGTCATTCAGCAGCAGGTTGTTCAGTCTCCATGTAGTTGTGCAGTTTTGAGTGAGTTTGTCACATGTTACTTTTAATAAATATTAATCTAGTGCTTATTATGTGGTAGGTATGGTTCTAAGTGCTTTCAAATGCTAATTCATTTAATCCTCATGATAACCCTATGTGTCCTTTTTTTTCCAAGTGAGAAAATAGAGACACAAAGTCAGCTCAGTAAAAGTCATTCCAATTCAGAAAATCAGGCCTCAGAATACATATTTCCTACAAACCATTATGTTTGTTATGGTCTTAAACTCACAACCCTGAGTTTGAGGTGCTAGGAAATGCATAATATTTGCCCCAAAGGGCAGGCATTAAAGTTCACCTACTAAAAGCTAAAAGAGAGAATCTTAAATGTTCTCATCACAAAGAAATAGTACATATTTGAGGTGGATATGCTAATTACTCTGATTTGGTCATTTCATAATGCATACACATATTAAAATGTCACTTTGTACCCCATAAATACATAACTATTATCAATTAAAAATAAAAGTAAAAAGAAAACATATTACTTACTGCATGTACATTTTTCTTAGAATGTATGTGACTTTTAAGCTATTGTAAATTTTCATTTGGTGATGTTACCAAGTTTTGCTTTGATTTTAATTGTTTACCTAGAAGCTATCATGAGACATAAAATATATTTTCTTGTATTCCATAAATTAACATGGAATGACAACAAAAGGCTATTTCTCCAGAGTTAGAAACTTCCATTTGAAGAAAGATACATGTTTGAAAACACAAATGTGTCAAAGTTCCCATATTGCCTTAACCCTGTAATCATTTATACATAAGAATATTTTAAACATTGTGAACATAATTTTTATCAGGTTATATAAAAAATAATATCCAATACAAAAGAGTTTAAAGTGTTTTAAGCTTACAAAGTTGGTGCCTGGTTGCTCATCCAGAAGAAAGCAATATTCACAAATATGAAAAATTTAAGAACATTTTGACAATGATATAATTCTCTGTATCTGCTTTTGTCAGAATCGACTGAATTGTCTGTGCAGGGAGAAGTCTGACTCCATAAGCTGTATCTTTTCCTGTCAAAGAAGTGTGGTTCATCAAACTTGGTGGATAAATGGATAACAAATTACTGAGATGGTCAAATCTTAGATAAGAAACATTTCTTCTCTATAATGCTGACATTCTCTATATAACCCCAGTTGTAACAACACAGTCATAAAAAAGAGTTATAATATTTGAAATCACTTGTGTTAAAATTTCATGTCTTTGCACTTTATTTTGAAGTATGATCAAAATAATATTATACCAATATGTAATACTTATTATTAAATATACAAAGATATATTCATCTGAGACATGGTATTCATTATTTTCTTGTTAAACAGTAATTTCTTCTTTTCAGCCAGCTTCTTTTTAGCTTTTGTGAATTAAAAGGCATTTACTTGGTTGCTAATCCCTAATAACAATAATTATACCTTAGGCTAACAGTAGGTGGGTAGACTTGAGAATGTAATTTTTTCCCTTATGTTTCCAAGTATCAAAATAAAGGTTTAATAGTCACTTTAAATAGACTTAAAATGACAAAATATGGTCTGATATTTAATCTCTTTATGTATACGATTATAATAGAAAGACTCAGTGAGTCTAGAGTATGAGGACATTTTTGCAGAAGGTGGATATTTCTTTACAAAGGAGTAATAGGCAGATGGCCCTAGGTTTAAATGAGACTAAATTCTAAGACAGATGACACAGTGGACAGAGAGATGCACTTCACTGAGAGCAAGTGCTGTAGGATAACATGATTGCTGGATTTCACATCCCTTCTGACTGAGGACACAACAGAGGCTCTACAAACTCATTAATGAAATCACTGTGTCAGAGTAACTGTGCAGCTACCTCCCAGCAGTGTCTTGCAGACCCACTGCTTATATACATATCATTTGTAAGGATAAGCTGTAAAATGGAATCTGCTCTTTGAAGTTCATTCTTTTTTTTCCTGTTTTTATTTTTTATTTTAATTAATTAATTAATTAATTAATTTGAGACAGAGTCTCACCCTGTCACCCAGGCTGGAGTGCAATGGTGAGATCTTGGCTCACTGCAACCTTTGCTTCCCAGGTTCAAACAATTCTCCTGCCTCAGCTTCCTGAGTAGCTGGGATCACAGGCTCCTGCCACCATGTCCAGCTAATTTTTTTTGTATGTTTAGTAGAGATGGGGTTTCACCATGTTGGCCAGGCTGGGCTCGAACTCCTGACCTCGTGATCTGCCCACCTCGGCCTCCCAAAGTGCTGGGATTACAGGCATGAGCCACCGCGGCCGACCTTTAATTTATTTTTTTTAGATGAAGTCTTGCTGTGTCACCCAGGCTGGAGTGCAGTGGCATGATCTGGGCTCAGTGCAACGTCCACCTCTCAGGTTCAAGTGATTCTCTTGCTTCCACCTCCCGAGTAAGCTGGGACTACAGGCTTGTGCTACCACACCTGGCTAATTTTTGTATTTTTAGTAGAGATGGGGTTTCACCATGTTGGCTAGGATGGTCTCAAACTCCTGCCCTTAACATTTTTTCCTTCATTTCAACTTTGGTGAATCTGACAATTATGTGTCTTGGAGTTGCTCTTCTCGAGGAGTATCTTTTTGGCGTTCTCTGTATTTCCTTGCTAGATTGGGGATGTTCTCCTGGATAACATCCTGCAGAGTGTTTTCCAACTTGGTTCCATTCTCCCCGTCACTTTCAGGTATACCAATCAGACGTACATTTGGTCTTTTCACATAGTCCCATATTTCTTGGAGGCTTTGTTCGTTTCTTTTTATTCTTTTTTCTCTAAACTTCCCTTCTCACTTCATTTCATTCATTTCATCAAACTCCTGACCTCAGGTGATCCACTTGCCTCGGCCTCCCAAAGTGCTGGGATTACAGGCGTAAGCCACCACACCTGGCATTTTCTCTTGTTTTCTAAAATATTTGACTTACATGAGAATTCAGAGTATGCTTTTTCATACATAAGGCATTGCATAAGATTTGCAGGGACTCTGATGAGGACAAGACACTGGCCTTACTCACCTTCAATATATTGATGTCAGGAGGAAGAATAAGACAAGTAACCATAGCACTAGGCATTCAACAGATATTTCCTGAGCTCTGTGATTTGCTTGGTAGCATTCAACAGATATGCTTCATTCATTCAACAGGTATTTGCTGAGGTCTGTGATTTGCTTGCATCGTTTATTCAACAGATATTTCCTGAGCTCTGTGATTTGCTTGGTATCATTCCAGTGGCTGAGAATTCAGTGGCATTACAAGATGATGTCCTCGTTTGCAGCTCAAGTTTTGTAGAGGCTGTGAGTCTGGGTCTTAATAAAGAGAAAGGGCTAGGATGAGTCAAGGGGCAGAGAGCCTAGAGCTGGCTGGGAGGCTCAGGGACTATTTGGTGGATGGAGGATCATTTGAGTTAAACCAAGGGAATGGGGGAATGTGTTCTTCAAAAGACCATTAGAACCAACTCAGAAGAGTCACCTCACTTGGTCCCTAATGGTCTTTTGAAGAACACATCTATCGGGGAGAGATAAGGATACACGATAGGGGAAAATGTGCAATAGCCCTAGATGGGTATGTTGGGATCATGATCATGCTGTCGAATTCCAGACTGAAGAATTCAGGAGACAATGAGCCTCTATTGAAGAATTTTAAACAGTCACAAAAGAACAACACTCCAGGAAACTTAGTACAGAAATAGTCAAGATGGATTAAAATGAAGACATCGAGGGCAGGACAGTCAAATAAAGGATTATTGCAATATTGGAGGCCAGTGGTCCTCCAGCCTGAACTTGTGGAGGCAGAGTGAACAGAAATAAAGATAAAAAGGTAAAGACTCCAGAACGTGTTAGATGGTGTGGGGGTCTTGAATTCTTTGAATTGCTTCTTAATGTCCCTATTATGGGTCGTATTTTTGCCCCTTGTATATTAAATCAGTGTTCTAAATTTTTTTGTAACTCTGCAGATATCTGTAGCACATCTGTCTCCTGCTCTTTATCACAGTCACTACCCGTAGAGTTATCCTCGTGCATAAATAAATCATTCCTTGCAGACTCGTGCTGCGTGTTTGCTCTGTTTTGGAAACAGATTATACATTATGGTTTCTACTACTTAAAGAACTAATTAACCCTTATTATAAATTACTCACTGTTTTCTATTTCTTTCCTGTCATTTTTGCAATGGAAACTGTGGCCTTTAGCTCATTCCTGTGGCATGAAGAAAAATGAGTGTATATAGGAATTTTCCTGTGGATGGTGAGAAGTGGGCAAGTTTGGTGAAGTGAAGGAGGAGGAAGAGGGCATAGGGATACCAGGCTTCTCTATGTTCTGGAGGCACTTCCCTAGTTCCAGAGAGGGACAGTGGGTGCAGGAGGGGGCAGTGCTCATTGTTCTTTCTACATTTCTGTCAGTTTTTCATTTTGTCTTTCCTTCCTTCTGTCCTTCTTTTCTTCTGTGTCTATTCGTTTTTTTTTCTCTGCCTTTTACTCTTTCCTTCTATTTGCCTGTCTTCCTGTCTTGTTTTATCTTTCTGTTATTTTTTTCTCTTTTTCTGTTTGTCTTTCTGTCTGCCTGTTCCTTTTTTTTTTCTACTTCCCTCCCTCCCCTGCTTTAGCATACGACTGGAGTGTAGCCACTTCAACCATGAAAACAAATGTTCTGCTCTGAATAGAGCAATGAGACCAGTTTATTGAAATTCAGGAAGCAGTATCAAAGACACTGTACTAACTCTTCCTCTGTTTTTCTTTCATTTGCTTTTCTGAAGAGTATAAATTCACAGAGATCTCTATTTTGTGTTGGAATAAACTATGAGCTGCTTTATTTAGTTTTATAGTGGAACATACATTTATTGATCATGAACTCTTTCCAGTAAAATATTTAGAGCATCCACATTCAATAAATGCCTATATATATATATAATATGTTATATTATCTTTAATATATTGTATAATACATAATGTGTATTATATAATATAATGATAAATGATTAAATTTAAAATAATAAAATATAAGGCAGTTTACTTATCTTCAAGGTGAGATATACACTTAAAATATGGTTTATCATTATCAATAATGAATATAAATCTACATTTCAAATAGTCTTTTTGAAGATTACAAAAAGAAAATTGGCCCTACATCTTCTCAGCTATTGTTCATCGTTGCTTTTATACCCCATGGTGTGGTTGGTGAGCTCATCATAGGAAGAAGTGTAATGCCAGCTCTGCCTTGCTCCTGCTGTCTGCTTCTGCTTACTTTGTGGTATCTCCTTTGGTCCACAGTTTCTTGTCAATAATCTTTTAAGCCTTTGTTCTTTGTGTGAGGAATAGTTTAGTTACAGTTTGGTAATAAAATCTGTAAATCTACTTTCTTGAACATATTCTGCAATCCAATGTAGTATGATGAAAGCTGATGAATGGGTGTGAGTTTCTCTGTTGCCATGCCAGATTTTCCATCAGGACATCAAGAGGACTGTACGGCATACACTACCCACTGAAAGATATCAAACAAGGGCACTAGAGTTGGTCTACAATTAAATATTAATAAAGCTTTATTTCTTTCTCACTGTTATATGAAGAGTAAATGTAAATAAAAATTCTAGTAATAGTTTTTCTGTACTATGTGGTTTATTTTGCTCATCTCCTAAGGTTCATACATCTTTGAAGGCTTCTGCTTGGAAAACCAAGGAAACCCTCTTTAACGCACCATTTTTTACTTGCACATATTTCTGCTCCATGGCAAACTAATTGATTGGTTGTCTAAATATATTGCATCCACAGTTAGATATTCCCTAGATGACTTAGTTCTCTCAATTTTATTCCATTTTATAATATAATCAGATTAGTTTTCCCAACTTAATTTAAAAAACCACACTTCCTTTGCTAGTGTTCCGGTCAACAGACTACAATGGATAGAATTCAACTTCTACTCTCCTGAAACTGCCTTTTTGATGTTGATTAATCTCCTTGATATATCTTTTTGGTTCAAAGATCACCAATTCAAATTTTAATGTATTTTAAAATCCAGATTAATTCTGATTTAAGAGTTAGTATATTTTGATTTCTTTCCAAATGAAAGAATTTTGGTTTGTATCTGTAAAAATAAACTCAATTTAGTAAAATGTAGGGACTATAGTAGCAAGGTCTCATAAAAATAAACAAATTAACTGAACAAATACGTACAATTATCTTTGATTCATCAATGTTTATGTCATAGAAGTGGGTATAATGGAAACATTTACAGATTCAGATTTCACATGCTGTTCACCTCTGTAATCAGAGGAGGGAAGAAATTTGGAATGCAAATATTGCACTGACCTAGGTTTTCATAAAGACATGAAACTGATTTCTAAATAAAAGTTCAGAAATTTAATTTCTGTGACAGATAAACTTTCATATTAATTCACATCCAGAATTTAAATGTTTATTTAATTTACATACTGTGAGGAGTTTTAAAAAGTCTCAATCTCTTAGTGGGTGAATAGATCAAATTTTCTGGAAGATGTATTGTGACTTTTGGTGAAAAGAAATAATTCACATTCTAGGGTTTTCATCTTTAAGTCTATTTCAATTATTTCCTCTAACAAAAAAGTGATTTTATTCATCAATGATTCACTTCCCCACTGTCAAGGTGGGAATGATCATTATTCTCACAGCTACAAGGGGAAAAAGATCTCATATTCTCATATTTTTGACTGTTGGTTCAGTACTTAGGGGGAGCATCTGTTTACATCCAGGCATTTTTGTTTTCCAGAGAAAGTGAAGGAAAGTTGCAAAATTAGATGAATAACCCTTAGTTTTATCAAATAAATTCAGTTTTATGCACAATATAGATTTAAGGCTTTTGAACAAAAAAAGTATATGCAATTGAGAAAAGATATGATACCATATATTCAATATTTAACAATTTTAAAACAAGCTGCTTTTTGGACTAAAGCGTGGTTGCATCTTATCATGCTGCCCTAGTTCCAAAGGTGTTTCTTACCATCTCTCCATCCATTAGGCAAAGACTATTGAATGCTCCATTATAAAGAATAAACATTTTTAACAGCTTTCACTTAAATTACCATGACAGGTACTACAGTGCAATGTTGTTAATCTTTTCCTAAAAGCTTAATGTTGCTATTTAGTTGTTTACTAATAAATCAAAGAAAACACATCTTGTCATTTTAAGTTAGACATAGATGGATGAATCTTCAGTGTCTTTGGAGATGGAGAAAATTTCCTACAGAAAAAGAAATGATTATTTGGTTTTAAAAAAAAGTATACAGAAACACACACACACTGCCATAAAGTACCATACCTAAAACTAAAGAAGTTGAAATGAGAAGAAATCACATACATGAAAACACTTTGTAACCTGTAAGCCAGTGTAAATACTACTCTATCATCTATCTTTGCATTCTTTTAAAATTTAATCTTCTTGCTTCTTTGATGCTTTTTTGCTGGTCAACCAGAATAGAATACTTCTTGGCAGTTTTGCACTTTTGTGTCTAGTGGCTTTCTAATTCCATTTCAAGCTCTTGTGTCCATTTTTTTCTGGACATTTGTATATTTAAAATTTTGGCACAAGATTATCTTCAATTTCCTGAAAGTTAAAAATACCTTAGTTTGTAAAAAATTATTCTGTTTGGTGATGATAATTTGATATTGCAGACTACTAGGAAATGAGAGAATATTCACATTTAGGCTAGTAATTTTATTTTTGTTCCTGTTTCCCTCTCCTGCTTTGTGGTAATAGATGCTGAATAAATGTTTAATGAATGATTGGATGAGTGGGTGAATGAAGCAAAAAATAAGCAATTTTGGAGGATTGAGTTATGGAATGTCATAAAATATCTAAACCTTTTGCAGTAGCACCTGAGTTCTCAACGTTTTTTCTTTTTATTGTAGCAAATATTGTAAAATGAAATCGACAGGACTAAATCTATAATATCTTTATTATATCACCATAATTTTATACAAAGGTTTGCTTTGGTTTTAGTATTTTGGCTATTTTTTACTCCACAAAAAGCAATATAAATTTGAAAAGCTGGTTAAAAGAAGAAAACTTGTCTAAAGCTTATATATAATTCCATTTTTCCCTGAGAAGGAGTGAATATTTGAAACAGTCTCATATAGTTATAGGCTGATAAAATTTTGGCCTGATAATTACATAATAAGCTGGTGCCTTCCCAAGTTATTAAGTTTTTAGAATCATTTTATGTGTTTATTGAATTTCATAAAATATTAATGTTAGTTATGAACTATTCAAAACCTCCAGGAATTTCAGCATTTCTCTGGCGTTCAAGAATTAAGAAGATTTAAAAGTCAACATATTGAGCAGAATAAATAATAACAAATATTTTAATCATTTCAAGGTCTCTTATCATCATTAATAATAATTTATTGACAGTCTTTTGACATGATCAGATAATTGACAGAATTTAATTATAGAAACAGGGCTTTTTATGCAAAACTATATAATTACTTTAAGAAATAAAACTGTATTGATAGTGCTCAGTAATTGAGCCAAGTTTATCAGTAAGAAAGTCCCAACAATTACAAACATTTCAGACATTGGAAACATTTTGAAATATATTTTTAAATATCTTGTTTCCAGCTCCAGCACGCCTTGGGTGATCCAGGTCAGACTGTAGGTGTGAGACCTTGTTCCTCCCAACCCTTGATTCAGGAACTCTGAGGATGGGGATGGGCTGGGGTTGGGTTTCTTTTTTCTTTCTTTTCATTTGTTTTTTTTTTTTTCTTTTCCTTTTTTTTTTTTTTTTAGTAGAGAAGGGGCTTTGCCATGTTGCCCAGGCTGGTCTCGAACTCCTGATCTTAAGTGATCCACCCACCTCAGCCTCCCAAAATGCTGGGATTACAGGTGTGAGCTACTGTGCCCGACCTGGGTGGTAAAGTTTCTTATTAGGACCTCAGAGAATCCATTCTCTAAGTCAATGAAATGGTTTTTCATGCTCATTTCGAAACATGTAGTCTGATTTAGGTTTTTATAGGCAAAGGAGGAGAGTTCAAAAGTAGGAGGGATGGGGTATCATGCTACTTAAATGCTGTAAGAGGCAAAAGGGAGTGCCAGCAGGAATACAGAAGCAGTAGGTGAGTGTTAAGAAGCAACCAGGTTTAGCATGCTCTCAAAGCTGCTAGGAGTAACTCATTTTGCCCCACCATAAAAAAACATTTTAGGAAAAGGCCTTTCAATGTTCCTTAAACCTGACCCTCTACCTCTTTTTCTGATTTCTGCTTATCATACCCTCTGGGTTTTTGTTTTGTTTTGTTTTACCATGGCTAGAAACTCCACAATTTTTCTAGTCTCTCACCTTCCACCCCATCAACATAGCCAAATATTTGCCAAGACCTGAGGATTTAATGTGACTCATCCATTCTTTATTCAGCCATCCTGCACCCTGTCTTTCCTTCCAGTGCTTCCTCATATTCCATAAATCTAGTCCCCAAAATGTTACTACATCGGTGTATAGCACAATCTTGCTGATGGCCCTCCCTTGATGGCAGAACAAAGAATGAAATGGTTCAAGCCATATATAGCCTGACATTCAAGGTCCTCTGTGAGTGCTTGACTGTGATCATGATCAACCATTCTGTTATTTCCTGCTACTCTTTGATGCTACTTTCAACCACTAAGCTGGAATACTCATCATTGACCAAACAATCCCAACATTCTACACTTTATTGGGATAATTTCTTTAGCCTGGAATTGTCATCTTACTATCTGTTTGAAATGCTACACATTCTTCATGACCCCCTTCAAGTATCTTTTTCTTCATAGTGCTAATCTAACTCCTGTAGCTTAAGTGAGCTTTGCTTCTCTTTTAAATGGCTATGCAACAATTTTTATGGCACTTACCAGATTCGACTTTCTACAATTGCTACTTTTATCCATATCATTGCCTTTATTTGACTTTAAACTGAACACTTGCTGAACGTTGTGTCTCAGAAGTAATGGTATTTTACACAAGTCAAATAAACAAATGAGAGTTGCATGAAGGAATAGTTGGAAATAACTGTCTTTCTACATGACTAGATAATGGACACAATTTAGTTATAGAAACAAGTTTTTAAAAGTAGAACTGTATAAATTAAGAAAATACTATTGATAATGCTCAATAATTTATCCAAGTTTATCATCAAGAGAGTCCCAGCAATTAGAAATATTTCAGAGGTTGTGAAATATGTTGAAATATGTTTTTAAATGCCCAGCTTTCAGCTCAAGCTTTTTCCTTTCAGCTCAAGCAAGCCTACGATGATCCAGGTCAGTTTGCAGGTATGAGGCCTCGCCCCTCCCATCAGATTCAGGAACTCTGAGGATGGGGTGGGGTTGGTCTAGGTGGTAAAGCTCTTTTTTAGGACCCCGAAGAATCCATTCCGTAAGTTAATAAAGTAGTTTTACCCTCTCATAAATGTATTGCCTTGTGAAATCATTTTAGCACAGCAGACAAAAAGGGAATTATTTTGTTAAAATTTTCATAATTATTTTCCAAGGCTATAGTAGCATAGTTTAGAGAAGTACTCTAATAGTACATAATGCCTGAAAAATCACCTGAAAGAATATAATGTCTCCCCTTGCTCATCTCACAGTTTCAAATGCCCTGCTAAGACTGATGTGCTACAAGCGATTTACAATGATTTTTGCATTTTTTAATCACTGACTTACTACATTTTAAAACATCGATCCTTTATGTTTCTTTTATAATGGTCTTAGTTTAGATTTTGTATTTTGAAGATTTCAATGCAAATGTCATCCAAATAGTATTCTTTCTTACCAAAGTGGGCTACAAAGCGTTTTGGGCTTTGTTTATAAAAAGTTTTATTCTCAATATGATTTAAAAAGGTAGAGATGAGAAAATGGCATTTAAGGCTGATAGAACAGTTTGAGCAAAGGTAAAAAATGTGATGATCATGTGGAAGTTCAATTTCTATTTTTTTTTTTTTGCCACAGATAAGATGTTAAAAATATAGGAATTCAAAATCAGGCCATTGATTATCCCACATTAAAAAGCATAGACTTATAGGTGCCTGAGACCCTTGGAGGGTTTACCAGTTGGGAAATGAATTAATAAAATATCTCTCTCTCTCTCTCTCTCTCTCTCTCTCTCTCTCTCTCTATATATATATATATATATATATATATATATATATATATACATATATATATATATGGATAATTTCTTTATTATCTTCTTTAGTTAATCAGGCCCTCTTTAATGTATAATAGCTCACAAGTAAAATGAGGTATGGAGAATTTAAAGAGCCACAAAAAAACTGTTAAAAAATTATGTATATATATAGAGAGAGAGAAAGAGAGAGAAAGAGATTGCCTTGTGAAATCATTTAGCACAGCAGACAACAAGGGAATTATTTTGTTAAAATTTATAGTAACGTAGTCTAGAGAAGTACTTTAATAGTACATAATGCCTGCAAAATCATTATATATATATATATATATATATATATATATATATATATATATATATATATATATAAAATGGTATGAGGTAGATTGGACATATGAAAAATGGCAGATAAGTAAACAAAACAAAACACCAGACTACTGTGATGGGTTAGGCTAAGAGACAATAAATAGGAGAATGAGGAGGGCTGGGGTTTGGAGATGTGGCAGAGGTAGACCAACATGGGTTTTTGATCCTCAAAGTATTGGCACATCTTTTTCATATTTCTAGTGTGGATGATAAGAAAGAACAGGGAAAAGGTGAGATGGGGAACACAGGAGGGTGAGAAGATGGAAATCTATGGGAGTGAATCCAGATTCTGGCCATGGGATCTGAAATATGGACATTGATTGCTATGTAGAGAATTGGAAATTTGGAGACAAAATTTAGGAGATAAGGGGTTTAAATGTAGATTTAAAAGTCATAGCATAGACCTGAACATTGAAACCCAGGGAAAGAATAGACTTGGCCTGCAACCAGTCTGATTGGTGGTAGGAGGGGAACAATCAGAGGTACTTTCCATTGTTCCTCTTCAAAGCAATGGAAAGGGGTGGGTTTGCAAAGGGAGTAGCCTCTGGTCCTTTTGTTACTTGGGCATGGAGCAGGTGGGGTTCGTTTTGATTCAGCTCTAGGAATTCAGAGTGAGTCAGCTTTAGGTTCCCTGCCTCTAGACCCTATTCTAATGCCTCATAGCCAGATAGAAAATTTATAGCAATAAAAAAAGGGGTGGAGCAAAAATACCTATAAGAACAGGTGGAAGAAGAGGAATTGACGATGCTGACTGAGAAAAAACACTTAGAGGCAGTATAAGGGGTGGGAGCAGCATATTTTCCTGTGGAAATGTATAAGGAACAAATCTGGGGCACACCTAGTTAGAGAAGTTAGGCCAGGAGAGCCACAAAGAAAGTTCAAGTATGGAACTTAGAATGAGGACTGAAAAAAAAAATCACTAGATTTTGCAATGATGAGACATGACAGGAAAGTGTGAGAGAATGGTTGCCTTTGCAAGGTGTGGCCAGGAGCCAGGTAGCAAGGAGAGTAGACAGGAGGAATTCATGCTCTTGGCTGTGAATGACTCATGACGAAGCATTCAACATTTTTTCCATATATTTAAAATTGTTAAATGTTCCTTTCAGCTGTTTTTAGGCAGAAAATGAGTCAATTTCCTTTTGTTTAACCCCACAAAGAATGGTCTTAAAATTTTTTAACAGTTTTTTTTTTTGTGGCTCTTTAAATCCTCCATACCTCATTTTACTTGTGAGCTATTATACATTAAAGAGGGCCTGATTAACTAAAGATCATAAGGCCATTTCTCCTTACTTGACACCAGGTATAAAATTCCAAGAAAGCATTTACTTTCACACCTGTAGCCTTGCATAGCAGATTCACATTTAGTGCATTTAGTGTTCCCCTAACTTTCTTTTGACCTTTGCTCACATTATAATACCTTTCCTAGAGTCTCTAAGTGTACATCAGGCATGAAAAATTGTTTACAATGGATCCTGAAAATGAGTTTAGTCTTAATCAACTTAATAGCTATTTTTAATGTGGCATGGTATAACCTAAATATGTACCTATAAAAATCATACAATTTAGAGATGGATTAGTCATCAAACTGGTCAAGTTAGTAAAAACAAAATTAAGGCTAACTTGGTCTCTCCTACTTATTCAGACCTTCCATACATGGGCTTATGAATCATAAAAGAAAAGGCCAACTGAGCTTGGATTCCATCTTTTTTAACTTAGACATTTAGAGTATCTCATTCTTTCCTGGTGTGTGTGTGTGTGTGTGTGTGTGTGTGTATTTTGCCATCTACACTCTTGAGTTCTAGAGCACTTTTTGTACATCCTCTCTGATTTCATTCTCTACCCAGGATTATATTTAGTTATGTGCATATTATCTTCCCTTCTTGGTTATAAACTCCCTTAGAGGATAGGTCACTGTTTTGCTTTCTCTGTGGCCTGTATAACGTTCAGCCTCATGCTTTGCTCCAAGAACATACTCAAAAAAGAGTTGTTAAAAGAAATAACCCAAATAACACTCTAACAGGGAGGAATTATTGTCTCTATTTTGCATGTCTAATTGAGATGTATTGATCCTTAAGGATGCTGAAGTTGTCTCTGTTATCTTTTCACCTGCACATAATGTATTGCCTTGCCCCTGGTGGGTGCATCCTTTGTGAAACAATGTGTAATTGCTATGTGCAAGGCACAGTGCTGGGCACTCAGATGCACAAAATAAAAGCAAGTGATTACTGCTGGGTCAGTGCAAGGCACAGGGCCAGCACATTTTCCTGAGGAGATGTTGGGGTGTGATGGGAACTGAAGGAATATGGAGCATGTAGTGGAGGCACAGTTTATAAAATGCCAAAATGTCAGGGAACT
Organism: Homo sapiens; assembly: GCF_000001405.40. NCBI lineage: Eukaryota > Metazoa > Chordata > Mammalia > Primates > Hominidae > Homo > Homo sapiens. The sequence goes on from NC_000002.12 coordinate 198,442,777, forward strand.
TGAAAGCCAGCCTAAGTATAGACCTAATTCTATAGACAAAAATACTTAATTTGATTATTACTTTCTTTTGACTTTGCATGTATGTTAATTTCCAAATATCTTTTAGCATAGAGACTGTGGTAGAGACTGGGACATTTTCTCATTCCAACATTCATTCTTTCTTTGCTTCTTAGGAGCAGAACCATGACTTTTAGCTAGACACTTGGCCAGCTTAAACAAAAGTCTATCCCATTCTCCTAGGTGTAACCATGCAACATAGTTCTGACCTATAAGATGTAAGTAGAGGTGGTATGAAACTTCTGGGAAGGCTAAATAAAGAGAGCTGTCTCAGCTGAAAGGGACAAGTCCTTGGCATTTCTGTCTTTCTGTCTTATTCTGCTTGTAACACCAATGTGATGGCTGGAGCTTCAGAAGCCATCTTATACCATGAGGCAATTGGATGATATAATTCATGCCCTAGAATGCTGAGACAAAAAGATAGAAGTCTGGGTCCCTGATGGAGCTGACCTAACAGTCCTCGGCTGCTAATTTCTGCATTTCCTCATGTGAGAGAGAAAGAAACTTGAATATTGTGTAAGTTTCACTTATTTTAGGATTGCCAGTGAATGTGCCCAAATCTAACCCTCACTAGCTCAATGGCTATTTAAAGCATTTTGTATTAATCCCCTTTGGGACATATAAAAATATTATAGACATACTAGGTCCTCTTAAGGGATTAAGATATTTAATTTCTTGTCAGTTAAAACATGCTGAGTGAGAATGTTATCATTCCCAAGAGTGTTGTCTTTGGCTATAGAAAAAGGACTCATTATAAAATATCATTTCTTAGTTCTTGAACTTAAGTAGTACCTTGTGTTGAAGGCTATACCTGTAGTAAAGAGTAGATAGCAGTTTGATTCCTTTCCCAGAGGTATGATATGGACAACTCATCTCTTCTGTGAAAAAGGGGCTGTATCTACTGTCTGGCTGATTGTGAATATTAAATGATTAAATGAGGTAATATAAGAAGTAACATATGTTAGTTCTTATTTTCTCCTTGCCTTTCTCTAAGAACAAGAAATTGGAAAATTATGAAATAAGCCAGGCTGATCCAGAGAACTAAAAGAGGCATTTTGCTTAAGCATTGCTATTGATATTTTTCTTGGTATTAGTTTCACACTTGTTGCCAAAAGTCAGATACTTGAATCCTCAAAATATCTCTGCTTACTTGCCTCCTATGCTGTATTATAGAAAATGTTTACCTTGAAAATTATTACTAAATTAGATATGCTTTGATTATCATGCATATATAAACTGTTTTCCTTTTTTTTTCTTAAAACTCAAAACGATTCAATGTCAGTACAATAAGGTTCTTCTTAACATACTGTCATTAATACTGATTACTAAGCTGTTTTCTTAACTAGCTTCTCATCTGATTCCATATGGAATTGTAAATGGTATAGCTGTTTTATTGGTATTTAACTTTTATATAATATATATTAGGATCTTGTGAAATTTTAAGTTTTATCTTATAGTCCTAATTTTGTAATTTAGTGCAAACACAATGTCTTATTAAATTCATTTCTAGAAGTTTTCAGAAGTATATATTTTTTCTTAGGATTTTAAATTCATCTGGCTGTCATTATAACAGGTGGCAATAGAGAAGACAGTCATTTTTAATTTATTATTCATCATATATTTAATTAGAAATTAATTAATTTTTATAAATTAGAAAAGTAGAGCAGAGTCTGGTACAGATTAGAAAAATAGAGGATGATATGAATAATCAACATATGGGTTTCCAAAGAGATCTTCATTAATCATTAGCAACTGTTATAAATATTTTAGATTTTTATTAAAAATTGATGCCAAACATTTTTAAATTTGCATGTTGAGGAATGAGAGAATGGTGCATGAGAAATGTTTCATAAAATAAATTTAGAGTCAGCTAGAATTTCAGAAATGAACTTATAAAGTTTTGTTTACTTGATCAGTAGTGGAATGTATCATGTAAATAATTGACACAAGTAGGCATAAACATCATTTCTGAAACTTTGGTTTGATTTTTTTTTCTAAGTATGCTGCAAGCTTTGTAATGGGGTATAAAAATTTGTGTTCAAAAATTGTCATAAAATGTCTGTTATATGATGTTGACTTATTTAAATAGTTGTGAGATATTTTCATTTTAAGGTGGTTATTAAGAAAATATTTGGAGGATGATCACTGTCAGAAAAAACAGATCCTTTCCTTTCCTTTTTCCTTTTCGTTTTTCTTTCCTATCCTTTCCTTCTCCCCTTTCCCTTTTTCCTTTCCCCTTTCCCTTCTCCCCTTTCCTCTTTCCCCTTTCCCTTCTCCCCTTTCCCCTTTTCCCTTTCCACTTCCCTTCCCTTCTGTTTTTCTAGATGAGGTCTGACTATGCGGCCAGGCTGGTCTTGAACTCCTGGCCTCAAGTGATCCTCCCACCTCTGCTTCCCAAAACCACTCTTCATGATCACTGGCTTCTACTCATTTTCTTTAACTTCCCTCACACTGTACTTAATCATCATGTGCTCCCTATGTTTGCCCTAAACTATGGGGCTTTCTCTTTCCTCTGCTTTGCAAATGATGGTCCCACTGGCCACAATTGCCTCTCTCCGATTTCTTACTCAGCCTGCCTTTGGCTGGTTAAACCCTATTTTCCTTTAGTATCAGCTAAGAGGTTAGATCTTCTTCAAGACTAGGTGGGATACCCCAGCCCAGGGTGGGAATCTTGCCTGTATGTAAGGTACTGTACTCTACTGTAATTGTCTTTCTAAATCCACCTCTAGACTGTAAGCCCCTGAGGGAAGGCCCCAGGCTTTGCTACCCTAGTGCTAAGGTCTGTCTGTGTCCCCCTAAAATTTGTATGTTGAAATCTTCACACCCCCAAGGTGATGGTATTGGGAGGTGTGGCCTTTGGGAGTTGATGAAGTCACAAGGGCTGTGCCCTCATGAATGGGATTAGAGGCTTTATAAAAGTGGCCTGAGAAAGCTCTTTTGTCCCTTACACTGTGTGAGGTTACAGGGGAAAAAATGCCATCTGTGAACTGGGAAGCAGTTCCTCACCAAGTCTTTGGCACCCTGATCTTGAACTTCTCAGACTTGAAAACTGGGAGAAATACATTTCTGTTGCTTATAAACCACCCAGTCTACGCTTTTTTTTTTTTTAATGGCCTGAATGGACTTAGATACACAGCAAGCCTTTTACCAGGAGGCTGACACATAGTAGGCAATCAATAAGTATAGCAGATGAATGAAAATGAAGAGAATGGGACATACTCTGCTTAAATGTATGTATTGCATGTAAAACGCTAGCTCTGACCACATTTGTTCCTTGTTATTGAACTGTATCGTGGCATGACCAATTTGATTATAACCACCTTTAAGAATAAAGGCAGGCTATTGCTTGATTTATTTAGTCACAGTTTTGGTGCCAGTTGTGAAGATGACTATAATGGTCTGAATGACACCCACATAGCATTATGTTTTGTCTGCTTCATTTCCATTTAGATAAAACAAAATCAAGATATATTAGTAAGAATATATAATTTTCAAGGTTAAGAGCAATACTACTATTTAATATTAATATTAGTTCAATAAATATTAATTCAAATCATTTTAATGACCGGTGGAATATTTTTTAAAAGATTTAAATAGAAGAAGTTGACAGTAGGATGATTTACATGGTTTAAATAACAATTTAATTAAAAACACGTTATCTCAGCGTTATTACCATTTTTAAAATCAGATTTACAGATATTTAATTGCATTTAAACTTGGGGCAAATGCAGGAGACTAAACATACCACAGAGAAATTACTAGATTTTCTTTTCAAAGTTTGGAGTGGCTTTCTCTCCTTTCTATATTTATCCTTCAACAGTAATAATAAAATAAATTGGAGGAGTTGAACCATGTTATAATCACTCCTTCATGGTTCCATTTAACTACCCTGTCATCTAGGCCTGTCTCCAGCCCAGACAGGCTGGGCACATTTTCAAGCTGCCAGGACACCAGGTGGGACACCAAGGTGGCAAGGCCACCAGGAGTGATAATCAAGTCCAATATATAAAATCTGCAGCTGGACCCAGACACATCCTCAGGAACTTCTGTATTTGTAGAAAATTTTGGAGGCGACTCTTCAACTCATTTTAAAAATTTTTATTTTTCTCACTCTTTGTATGTCCCTCACCCAACTCTGCCTGTGTTTATTTCCTTTACATTTTATTTCCCTCTCTCTTTGCTTCCATTTCCTAAAATTTGCCTTATCTATACTGCATTATTGCTTCATAGTTAAGGATGTATCATTACTGCATTGGATAAACAAAGATATCTATTGTATGTCATAATGACTATAGATAAAAACAGTATCTTATACTTGAAAATTGCAAAAAAAGTAGATTTTACATGTTCTCATCACAAAAAAGCATGTGAAGTAATTTATATGTTAATTATTCGACTTAGCCATTTTACAATATATACATAAAGCATCATGTTATATACCATAAATATAATTTTTGTCCATTCAAAAATTTTTTTAAAAAGATGAACAACCTGCCATTTATAGACTGCAGAGTTGAAGACAGAGCCTACAGCCAGGAAGTTTCAGAAAAATTTCAGAAGAAAGAAATAAGCCTATTAGAATACAGAAATAATTCTACGGATCACTCCTTCACACTAGCTCACTCTGTGTATTTTGTTCTGAGAAACTCCTCCATGGCAAGAGAGGCTAGGGTCAGACCAATTGCTGAAGACCTTAGGTGAAGGCACCAGCAGTTGCTGCTGCAGGGAACATGCTTTGGGACCAGGAGTACCAGGTTTGTGACAGTACAAAGTGAGGAATCAGAGACAGACCAGGGAGAGGAGTTTCCAGCCTGGCTCATACTGTAGCAAGAATGGGCCCCTCCAGCTCTTTTGTAGAGCAGGAGTTGGAAAGGAAACCCAGAAAATATGTTTGGTCATCTGCTCTCTGCCAGTGCAGTACTCCTACAGATTTAACATGCACTACCCCCAACCCAGGGGCGGCTTCTCCTGCTTCATTGTGCCTGGGAATCTCAAGGCAATTTTAATGGGACTGAATATTTTGGTTCTCTCTGATATAACACAGGGGTCAATTCATTGCTCTGCCCCTAGCTCCTCAAGCCAGTGCTATTAGGTCCCATTTACCACTGCATGCTATATTTTAGTTATGTCATTTCTGAGCTTTAGGGTACAGAGAATGGTGGTTGAGAGGGAGACAAAAGAAAGGAGGATGGGAAGGAAAGGGAAGAAGAGGGAAGTGTGAGAAGGGGAAGAAGAGGAGAGAAAAAGGAGGAGAAAGAGCTCTTAACATCAGGGAAGTAACAAACAACACATTGTATATTTTCTCATTTAAAAAAATCTCAGTGTGCGTGTATGTGTGTGTGTATGCATATATACATACATATACACACATATACTGAGACACATACATGTGTATATTTATATCTTATATATAATATATACATACACAAACACAATTGTTTTAAAAGCTGTTTTTAAATTCTTGAGGCTTCCTTTTTTCTCTTCAGGAATAAAAATCTGTTGCTCCTTTGATAAACAGTACATAATTTGAACAGATAGCTAGTGAAAAAATAACTTCATATTCCTCAAAGAGGAGATAGAGAAATTAAAGTGGCACAATTTTTGATTGGATGCATTGCATTTTCTATTTTCTCAGTGAGTCTAATTCTGAGCCTGATTCTGGTATCTTTCTCTGAGAAACTACCACTTCCTTTTGTTTGAGAAAAGAACTATTAGTTTGTTATTAAAAAAACAAAACAAAACCCATGCCTCCCCCATCATATTTGTTATTGTATATTCTTGAAAGCCCCCTTTTCCCCTTCTCTCTTTAAGGCTCCAACATAGCCAGTTCCTCACTGCTGCTGTGTTAGATCCTATTGCTTCCCTCTGACCCCTTGGGATTGGGGTGCAAGAGAGGTTGTGGGAGGGCGGTGACACAGGGAAGGGTTGCTCTAGCTGGGACTGTTCAGTGCTATAGTTTGTTTCTCTATCTTCCAATTGCAGTCCAAACATGGTTGGGAAAGAAGCTTGTCTTTGACAAATGAAAAAGCTATGCATTCCCATTTAAAACTTCACCAGATAGGATGAGGTTGATGAGTTCAAAGGTCCTCTTCTCCTTCATCACCAGCTTGTGAAAATGAAACTGTTTCAGAGACACAGATCATCCACTAGGACTTTTCCTCAATGCACAGTCACTATGATGCATTTCTTATGAAAGTTTCACCAAGCCCATCTGTGACTATTATCACGAGCCTGTAATACATGCACAGACATGAACAGAAAATTCAGGAAGGACACATTAGAGATAGGATTCTATTTTTTAAAACACTCTCTCAGACTGAGCTAAGTACAGTCATGTGCCACACAATGTCAATGACAGACTGCATATATGATGGTGGTCTCATATGATTCTAAGAGAGCTGAAAAATTGCTATCTAGTGATGCTGTAGCCATCATAATGTCACTTACAGTGCAATGCAATACTCATATGTTCCTGGTGATATGCTGGTGTAAATAAATCTGCACTGCCAGTCATATAAAAGTATTCAATTATGTATAATACATAACACTTGATAATAAACAACGGTTACTAGATTATGTATTCACAATAAACTACACTTTTTATCATTATTGTAGAGTGTAATCTACTTACTTATAAAAAAAAGTTATCTGTAAACAGCCTCAGGCCAGGCCATCAGGAGATATTCCAGAGGAAGACATTGTTATCATAGGAGATGACAGCTCTATGAGTGTTATTGGCCCTGTAGACCTTCCAGTGGGACAAGATGTGGAGGTGGAAGACTGTGATACCGATGATCCCGACCCTACACAGGCCTAGGTTAATATGTGTGTTTGTATCTAAGTTTTTAACAAAAAAGTTTAAGAAGTGAAAAAGAAGAAAAGTAGAAAAAAGATGTAGAGAATAACAATATAAAGAAAAAATATTTTGCATAATTGTATAATATGTTTGTGTTTTAAGCCGTTTTTATTTATTTTGTTTATTTTTATTGTTATACTTTAAGTTTTAGGGTACATGTGCACAATGTGCAGGTTAGTTACATATGTATACATGTGCCATGCTGGTGCGCTGCACCCACTAACTCGTCATCTAGCATTAGGTATATCTCCCAATGCTATCCCTCCCCCCTCCCCCACCCCATAACAGTCCCCCAGAGTGTGATGTTCCCTTTCCTGTGTCCATGTGTTCTCATTGTTCAGTTCCCACCTATGAGTGAGAATATGCGGTGTTTGCTTTTTTGTTCTTGTGATAGTTTACTGAGAATGATGATTTCCAATTTCATCCAGGTCCCTACAAAGGACATGAACTCATCATTTTTTATGGCTGCATAGTGTTCCATGTTGTATATGTGCCACATTTTCTTAATCCAGTCTATCATTGTTGGACATTTGGGTTGGTTCCAAGTCTTTGCTATTGTGAATAATGCCACAATAAACATGTGTGTGCATGTGTCTTTATAGCAGCATGATTTATAGTCCTTTGGGTATATACCCAGTAATGGGATGGCTGGGTCAAATGGTATTTCTAGTTCTAGATCCCTGAGGAATCGCCACACTGACTTCCACAATGGTTGAATTAGTTTACAGTCCCACCAACAGTGTAAAAGTGTTCCTATTTCTCCACATCCTCTCCAGCACCTGTTGTTTCCTGACTTTTTAATGATTGCCATTCTAACTGGTGTGAGATGGTATCTCATTGTGGTTTTGATTTGCATTTCTCTGATGGCCAGTGATGGTGAGGATTTTTTCATGTGTTTTTTGGCTGCATAAATGTCTTCTTTTGAGAAGTGTCTGTTCATGTCCTTCACCCACTTTTTGATGGGGTTTTTTGTTTTTTTCTTGTAAATTTGTTTGAGTTCATTGTAGATTCTGGATATTAGCCCTTTGTCAGATGAGTAGGTTGCGAAAATTTTCTCCCATTTTGTGGGTTGCCTGTTCACTCTGATGGTAGTTTCTTTTGCTGTGCAGAAGCTCTTTAGTTTAATTAGATCCCATTTGTCAATTTTGGCTTTTGTTGCCATTGCTTTTGGTGTTTTAGACATGAAGTCCTTGTCCATGCCTATGTCCTTAAGCCGTTTTTATAAAAGATTCAAAAAGTTAAAAAATTAAAGTTTATAAAGTAAAAATGCTACAGTAGGCTAAGGTTAATTTATTATTGAAGGAAAAATATTTAATAAATAAATGTAGTGTAGCATAAGTATACAGGGCTTGTAAAGTCTACAGGAGTGTACAGTAACGTCCTAGACCTTCACATTCACTTACCACTCACTTACTGACTCACAAAGAGCAACTTCCAATCCTGCAAGCTCTGTTCATAGTAAGTGCCCTATACATGTGTACCTTTTAAAAAATCTTTTATACCATGTGTTTTACTGTACCTTTTCTATGGTTAGATAGGTTTAGATATGCAAATACTTACCATTGTGTTACAGTTGTCTGCAGTACTCAGTAAAGAAACATGCTGTACAGGTTTGTAGCCTAGGAGCAATAGGCTTTACTACACAGCCTAGTTGTGTAGAAGGCTATGGCATCCAGGTTTGTGTAAGTACACTCTGATGTTCAGACAATGACAAAATCACCTAGTGGCCTAACTATGCATTTCTCAGAATGTATCACCATTGTTAAGTGAGGCACGACTCAATGGAAATGAAAAAGGCAGTATATTTTGAGTAGTAGAGTAATAAGCTGCCATTAAATGGCAGTCGGTGATGCTCTCATCACTGCCATTCTTCTGCCAGTGGCCAAAAGGAGCAGCTACTGCTCTGGCAATGGACAGATGACCAAGTATGTTTTGGAATTCCTCTTGATCTAGTTACAGAACTGGAATCGAGGCCATATTTCTCATCTAAGAGACTAAGAGAGCCAACACCATGCCTCATTCCTGTCTTAATCTCAGTCTACTTTCCAGTCCCAGCTGTGTTATCATTCCTGGTCTCAACTTTACATTGCTATGCAAAGGCTTCTGCTCTGACTTCATCCATGCTCATCCCCACACTCTTCCAGTTTGTTTGCTGAACATCTCTTTCTATGTTCAGTGACCTCCTATCCTTCCTCAATTCTTACTCTTAAGAGAACTCCATCTCCTATCTTAACTGAAAACTTGATGTCCTCCAATAATACCACTTTCTTCACACTCCCCTCAAGCATGTCCTCAGGGTCACTGGGTAAAGTAGATGTCCACCTTTCTCTTAATGGCCTTTCTTCACGTTTAATCCACTCTGGCACAACCCATTGCTACTCTGAATTCCTTGTTCCAGCACTATACCTCATTCCCACCATCTCTTCCCCAAAATCACCAACTATTTTGTATTTCCTGTTGTTTACTAAAGATTAATGTCGTGTTCCAATATTTAATTATCTTGTTGAGCTATTTAAATATTAATGGGGTAACTATAACAACTTCTTACAGCTTGCTTTCTTATGGCTTCTTGGTAAAGGGAAGGCCAGTTCCTGGCCTCTTGGTTTCTTGACAGCCACATCTCCTGTGCCTTTTTCTCTTCAGTCAATTGCTCTCATTGTTGCTTCATGGACTTCAACATCAAGTCTGCAGCATCTCTTAATTATTGGCTTTAAACATTTTACATCAATACCAACTCCTCTCCTTTTCTTACTTGCTCAATTACTCTGCAGCAATTCATCATCTTTGAGACTTCACATGCATTATCTCTATTATTACATCTGTTTATTGGATGCTTTTTTCACTTCTCTTTTTCTGCAGCCCAGTGTTTTGAGCTCTGTCTTGACATGTCCTGAACTCCTTGTCCATCTCTTTCTTCATTGCATTCATCTAGAAAATCCAGGCAAGTAAAAACCCACTCATTTGATTTCTTTGTGCCTGAATCTGAGGAGCAGCAGGAATATGGGAAAAAATAAATCACAAAATTCGGATGATGAGGATTTACTCTAATGTCGTGATCACACCATTAAATATACAGTCAACATCTCCCTCAATTCTATTTTTTATACCCCCAAATGACTCTTCTATAGCCTCTTCTTTTTCTCAAAATTTCAATACCCCTACTTCCAGACATTTAGATGTTTACCTAGCCCTATTCCTTTTCATGGTGAAAAAAGTAGCCATCTTATTGAAATGCCCCATTTTCTTAAGAGCAAATTTATAAATCTTTCATCTGCATCTGTTTTCTCTTCTTTTTTCATTTACAGTGGAGGAAGTATCCCTCCAGCTGTCAAAGGTAAATTGTTCCGCTTGTCCTGTAGGACATGCCACCTCTCACCTTTCAAATATTTCCCTTCTTCAGTTATTCCCTGTCTCTCTCCTGCATCATTCATTTTCTCATATAGAGTGAATCATTCCTACTGGTATTCAAACACATTCTAGGATTTCTCTTCTCAACAGGTCTCCTCAAATCCCACTAAAACAAATCAATGAAGACTTTCTTTGGTCCTCATATTCCATGTAGCTACTAACTTATTTCACAACCATAGATGGACTTCTCAGAAATTGTATATCACCGTTCCCTTCCTGCTACCCTAATTCCTATTTTAATTCAATATGGCTTTTGCCTCTACCACGCAACTCAAAACGGCTCTTGTCACTGTCACAGTAAATGTTGTTTTATCAAAACACAAATCACTTTCTACTGTTACCTTAACCTTTTAGCAGCATTCAACAATTTGATCTTTCCCTTTTAAAACACTCACCTTTCTTGGATTCACTGACCCTGTCACTTCTGGGTCTTTCTCTCATTTCCTTGGTTTCTCCTTTTCAGTTTCCTCTACTAGCTCCTCCTCCAAAATTTACTAGTAAGTTTTGGAGCTCTGTTGGGTTTTCTGTCTTCTCTCTTTACATCCTGTTGGGAAGCCCATCTCTTTTATGACTTTAAATACCATCATTATGCCAACACTCCCTAAGTTTCCATCTCCAGCCTAGATTCTCCTTAAGTCCAGACTCATTTATCTTTCCCACATCTACTTGTATACTTTATAGACATCTTAAACTAGAATACTCCAAACTGAACTCTTGATCTTCTTAACCCAGTCACCTCTCCAACATGTCTCTCCTCCAGTCTTCCTCATTTGTGACAAGAGCATCATTCTTTTCCCAACTTTCACCTCTAAGTCAGCAGAAAACCCTGTTGATTTTACTTTCAAACTACACTCTTGAATCTTTCTTTCTTTCTCTCTCTTTCTTTCTTTTCTTTCCTTTCTCTTTCCTTCCTTCCTTCTTTCCTTGCTTCCTTCCTTCCTTCCTTCCTTCCTTTCTTTCTTTCTTTCGTTTTTTCTTTCTCTTTCTTTTTTCCTCCCTTCCGCCCTTCCTCTTTTCCTTTCCTTTCTTTCCTTCCTTTCTCTCTTTCTCTCTTTCTTTCTTTCTTCTCTCCCCTTCCCTCCCTCCCCTTCCCTTCCTGATGGAGTCTTGTTCTTTGTTGCCCAGGCTGGAGTGCAGTGGTGTGATCTCAGCTCACTGCAACCTCCACCTTCCACTTTCAAGCAGTTCTTCTGCTTCCGCCTCCCAAGTAGCTGGGATTACAGGCACCTGCCATCACACCTGGCTAATTTTTGTAGAGATGGGGTTTCACCATGTTGGCCAGGCTGGTCTCGAACTCCTGACCTTGTGATCCACCCACGTTAGCCTCCCAAAGTGCTGGGATTACAGACACAGACATGAGCCACTGTGCCCGACCTGAATCCTTTTTTCTTTCTACATTTCTACTTCTATCCTGGCAGTCTAAACCATGTTCACCTTTCACCTGAACACCCGGACAACAGAAGCAGCCAACTTTCCCTTTTGTTTTTTCTCCATTTTCCATGTAACCTGTCAGAGGGACCTTTAAAATACGCCAATCAGATTATGTGGTTTTGCTGTTGAAAACCTTTTATGTTTTTCTACTTCTATGAAATAAAATCTTCTCTGAAATAAAATCTTTTGGCCAATAAGACCCTGAGTGATCTGACTTCTGCCTACTCCAGGGTTTCATGTTTGTCTACGGCTCTTTTCCTTGGTCACTATACTTTCCTCACTTTGACTTTTTTATTGTTAAATTCCTTAAACACATCAGCTCTTTCTCATCTCAGCCTGTATATGCTTGGCCTTATACCCAGACTGCCTGATCTTTTCCTAATGTTTCAGAACTGACCTCACATTCTCCAGGTCTCAGTTTTAACGTCAAACCCTTAGAGAAATCTTCCCTGACTGCATTAGGTAAGGCAAATATACCCTTGTTAATCTTCAACACACAATCCTGGTGGTTTGTTTCCTATGTGAGAATTATGATAATTTATACTTACTTTTGTTTTATCATATACATACATACATATATATATATATAGTTAATTTGCTAAGTTCCCCACTAAATTTTAAGTTCCATGAGGTCAGAGAACCATATCTGTCTTGCTCACTGCTAAGTCTCCAGTGTCTAGCACAGTTTCTGGCATTTAGTAGCTGCTAAATGAAGTCTATACTAAATTCATCTTGAAACAAGTGATTTTTTTTTCTTACATTTCCTCTCTCCACTATATTATACCATATTCAGTAAAAATCTTCCCTTTTTTAAAAATATATACGCTCAAAGGAGATTCTATACATTTTTCTTTAGATAATGGTAATCCCTAATTAAACATGCTTATATAATAATGCTCTATAATTATGTGGTAATTTCTATTTTAGGGTCTCAAAACTATTTAGAAATCATAATTAATGATCAAGCAAATGTGATGGGACTGGGTCATTAAAATAGTTTTACTTTTAGACCTGAGCTTGCTTTCTTAAGACCCCTGGTCTAACACACATTGAGTTTCTGATTCAAGACCTGTAGTTGACTGCTTTGTTGAAAAAAAAAAAAAGTAAATCAATAAAAAAGCTTCATAATAAAGATTCATGAGATACTTTTGATAGCCATTTAAAAAAATCATAGGGATGGGGAAAATATTGAGAGAGAATAATATTTTAATCCAATAATTATAGTCATTTTACCTGACCACTGAGCACCGACTGTGTTCCAGAAGGTTTTTTGGAATCTGGAACTATAGGGCTGAAAGTGACATGGTTTCTGTTTGATTGTAGAGTTGAGACATGCATATCAACAGGTAAATATAATACAATGTCATAAGTGTTTTAGAAGATTAATTTATAAAGCACTTTGGTACATAAAGAAGGAAACTAATAACTTTGAAGAGAACTAGGAAAGGCTCCACAGATGGGACACTTGGATTGCTATTTAAAAATGGGTAAGTGTGTTGGTCAGGTAGGGAAGGTGAAAAAAGAAAAAAGGAAGGCATTCTCAGAAGAGCAGAGAAGGATGGAGAAGGGAAAGTGTATAGCATATTACAAGAATGATCACTGCGGCTGGAAAAGAGAGTACCGGGAGGAAAGTGACAAGGAATAATATCCATGTTCTAGTTGTACTGATTTTTCTGTAAAAAATGATGGGGGCTTGGTTTGTGCTATCTGTAACTGAGAAGGCTGTAAAACATGAAACTTCATTCTACAGAGGTTATCTCCATTACATTTTAGGTTATTATTATTAAAGATTGTAGTCTCAATAATGTTATCAGAAAACTGTTTAAATAACCAGGCTGAACATTTTCTATGATTTATCTTTAAGAGTAGAGGTCATTAAGTCACCTCAAACATGCTGGTCTTTTATCTATATATTTCTGCATCTTTAGATAATTTAGGACCTAAATTTTAGGCTATCAATTTCAAGGTTGTTTAAAGATTAAATTTAAAAAAGTTTGGCTCACTAGAATTCCTGCCTATGACTTGTTTTTCACATATGTAGAGTGGGTGGTCATCTGTGTTACATGATGGGACGATTCCAGGAATGTCTTCTTGCTCACATTTTTTTTGCAGCCCGTGAGTCACAGTGATAGACATGCCATATTAGAAATTCCTTAGGGTTAAAATATTGTCCCCAAAACCCAGTTTCTTTATCTTTCTTTTCCTTTCTTTTTATTTTTAAGGTGCAAATGGCTTTCTCACTCTCACATTCCAAGGATATTCTTAAATTTTCTTTCTTGACTTCTGCCAAATTTGAGACTCTGAGTGCATCTTTTTTTTTCTTGAGTTTTTGTGTTCTCTAAATAGTCTTGGTTTCTCTAACCTTTCAAACTGATGCTTAGAAGATATAAGCCAGGGTTTAGAAAACAGGTTTTTATTCAATCTCCTTTATTTTAGTGTGTTGCCTCCCTGTAGCCTTCTGCATGCCTAGTGTCTCCAGGATAGGAGTTGTCTTTTCTTTTTTTCCAGGGAGTTGATCTTCTCTCTCCTGGGTGCAAGATGCTTGGGTTTTTTGTTGGTTTGTTTGTTTGGTTGGTTGGTTTGTTTGAGAGTTGTTTTCCTGGCTTTCAATGAGATGGTGAATGGGGATCTCTCTTCCTAGTTTCCACCAATCCTCCCATTTTTGTTTGCAGCCTCCATTCCTATTCCTAGAAGTACCTGGCTGCTTTCCTTAACGTCCTTTCCAGGCTCTGTAGTGCTGGTCCTTTTTCATTTTGTTGATTCTCCTTCTTTGTCCCTTTAATCCCTTTCCTTTTTTTTTTTTTTTTAAGCCAGCAACCACTTGATGAACTTCTTTCCATCTTTTGTAGTATCTATCATTGCCTCTCCAGTTGTTTTGATCTTCTGTGATTATAGAAGTTTCATTTCTTTCAGTAGAGCTTTGGGAAGGAACTAAGGTAAATTTCTGGTTTTATCCTGCCATGTTTAATTAGATATCTTCAGGACTATTTTTCTAAAATACAAATGTCCTATAAATCTGTGGTCTTATCCTTTCAATGGCCTTGCCTACATACAGAGTAAAATATAAATTCTTATTAGATGTTTTTCAAAGTACTTCATGATCTGCTCCTTATCTACCTATCTTCCAGTAATTTTCTTTGCCTCCTTCAATTCTGGCACTCTTATATAAGTCAGTTCAGGTGTAACTGCCTCCTGGTCTTCCCTGGTTAAATAGCACGGAGGGGTGGAATATGGAAAGACTTTGGAAATCTCCTGGCATATCATATCGTTTGAACAAGAAGCAATGCAGAACATATAGAAGAGGCTTTTAAGCAGAGAAAAAGGCCTATGATCTCACCACAACCCAAGAGGTTCCAGGATCAGATACAGCAGGTAAAGGGGGGACAAGAAAAAGAGCTAGCATTGAACAGAGGCGTTAATAGAAAGCTTGTTCCCTTTCCCTCATATCCTTTCTCTCCTTCCCCTTCTCTGTCTCTAGTCTCTCCCTCCAGACAACCTCTTCTACTTCTTTCCTTCTACTCTCTTTTCCCTCCTCTCCTTACAACTAATGAAATTGTTGGCCCTAAAGCTTCACTCCACTGTAATAATACCATATATCCCTTTGGTCTAGGCCTCAAAGTGGGTGAAATATACTTTCTCACCCCTCGAGCTTGAACTTTGTCCTGTGACTTGCTTTGGCCACTGGGACGTTAAGGGTACAATGTGAGCAGAGGCTTGAATTGTACTGATGCAGTTGGGCTTGCTTTCTTGTGCTTCTGATACAGCCATGAGGATGACATTCCCTGGATACCAGAGTAAGTCATGTGGGGCAGAGTCACCCAAACTAACATATACACCCGCTTCTTGAAGCAGGGCTGCCCAGCCACCTGCAGATGCACAGTCAAGAAATAACTTAAGTTGCTAAGTGCCACTAAAATGTTGCAGTATCTTTCATTCAAAAAAGGTGGCTGATACAGAAACTGATACCAAGAGGTGGGGTACTGTCATAAAAACACTGAAATATATGGCATTTGATTTAGGTCTAGGTGGAGGAATGATGTGGAAACCTTAATAAAACGGAAAAGTAGCAATCCATATTTTGCAGTGGCAAGTATTTTGGTAAAACTATTGTCTGTCATATAAAGAAAATGTATCTAATGAACCTGCAAAGTTTGGTTAGGAGGTATCAGGAGAAGTGTTGAAGATATCAACTGGCTGTTTTGAACTGAATTTGATAAAATACCACAAGAAAGAAATGAGCTTAGAAAAGGACTGGTCAATTTACATGCAGAATTTAGAGGGAATGTAAAGAGCCAAGAAATTGCAAATTTAAAATAGAAAATTGTTTCTCACCAAATCAATTATAACAAAATTGGGTATTTTAACACAATCACTAGTTGAAGACTAAATCTGGGGTGCTGCCAGAAAGACATGGCCAGTTAGACATGATCAAGCCAAGAGTGCAGCTGAAACACCCTCTGTTAAGCTTGCCAAAAGGATTAGAATGATATCTAGTAGATTTCTCACAGGACAAAAGGGGTCCATCAGAGCCCAAGAAATGATCCCAGAAATGTTTGACTCATTCCAAGAGCCCATAAATACAGAATATGGCTTAAAAAGAATCATGGGTGTGGCTTTGGTACATGCAGTTGATAGAAATCATATATGTAAAAATCCACAAAGGTTTTAAGAGAGATCTATAAGCAACATCACCACAAGCTTGGAACAGAAAAGAGACTGGCTGTTTGAAATGTAAAAAGACCTCTGAGTCTCCAACTTTCTACAGAAAGGAATATATATATTTAATTAATGCTACAAATTTCTCCCTAAACTTCTTTAGTCATTTCCCATTAATTTTGATATGCTGTGTTGCTGTTTTCATTCATAATATTTTATAATTTTCCTTTTTTATTTTGGTTTTGACCCATGGGTTATAAAGAAGTATATTATTTAGTTTCCAAATATTTGAGGTTTTTCTAGATAGCTTTCTATTGCTGATTTTTAATTTAAATCCATCGTGGTCAGAGAACATACTTTGTATAATTTGAATGATTTAAGTTTATTGAGGCTTCTTTATTCCCAGAGTATGATCTACCTTAATAAATGTTCTGTGTGCACTTGAGAAGAATGTGTATTCTGCTGCTGTTAGGTAGAGTGTTCTTTATAAGTCAATAAGGTCAAATTAGTTATTGTGCTATTTCCATCTTCTCTATTCATAACAACTTTCTATCTACTTGTATCAATTATTGAGAAGGAGTATTAAAGTATCTGACTATAATTGTGGCCTTTATCTATTTATACTGTTTTCAGTTCTATCAGTTTTTACTTCAGGTATTTTGAAGCTCTGATATTAGGTGCATAAATGTTTAGGACTGTTAGGTTATTTTGATGAAGTGACTTCTTTTTTATTATGAAATGATCTTCTTTTTGTCCTTGGTAATATCCTTTATTCAGATATATGCTTTAACTGATATTATGTCAGACACTCCAGCTTTCTTTTGTTTATTGTACATGTGATTTTTCTTTACCCCTATTTTAATTGTTAACCTGTTTGTGTCTTCATATTTGAAGCGTATTTCTTGTGGGCAGCATATAATTGCTTCTTTTTTTTAAAAAAAAATCCAATCTGAAGGCCTCTGCTTTTTAATGGAGTATTAATGTTTACATTCATATTTAAGGTGATTATGAGGTTTGAGTCTATGATCTTGTAATTTGTTTTCTATTTGTCGCTTCTCTTCTATTTTCCCTTTCCTGTTTTCTGTTTTCATTTAGATTATTTTAATTCTTTTTTATTTGATTTTCATCTCATAAGTAACTAATTAGACATAACTATTTCTTTTATTATTTTGATGGTTTCTTTGAGCTTTGTGGTATTTATGTTTAGCATCACATCTACTTTTAAGTGATGCTATACCGTTTCATGTATAGCTCACAATACTTATAATAGTACTTTTCCATTTCTCTCCTCCTGACCTTTGTGCTATTGTCACATATTTAACTTTTACATATGTTATAAACCACATTCTTACTGCTTTCATTTAAAGAGTCTATTGTCTTTTAAAGATGTTTATATATTTACCTCTGTAGTTAAAATTTCTAGTGCTCTATACCTTTGTCTATATTTATATTCTATCTGGTATTTTTCCCTTTTATTTGAAATATTTCCTTTAATAGTTCTTATTGGATAGGTTCATGGATGATGAATTCTTTCGGCTTTTATACATCTGAAAAAGTCTTTATTTTACCTTATTTTTTTATTTTTTATTTTTATTTTTTGAGACAGAATCTCACTCTGTCACCCAGGCTGGAGTGCAGTGGCACCGTGTCGGCTTACTGCAACCTCTGTCTCCTGGGTTGAAGCAATTCTCCTGCCTCAGCCTCCTGAGTAGTTGGGATTTCAGGTGCCCACTACCACGCCCAGCTAATTTTTATATTTTTAGTAGAGATGAGGTTTCACCATGTTGGCCAGGCTGGTCTCACACTCCTGCCCTCAAGTGATCCACCTGCCTCGGCCTCCCAAAGTGCTAGGATTACAGGCGTGAGCCACCATGCCTGGCCTCACCCTCATTTTTGAAAGATACGTTCACTGGGTATAGAATTCTAAGTTGACTTTTTTATTTTAATAATTTTAAAGAGGTTGTTCTACTGTCTTGTCACTTGCCTTGTTTCTGACATAAAATTTGCTATATTATTTATTTTCTTAGTATAATAATTGTTTTTTCTCTTTTCTTGACCAGTGATTTATTATTGGATGCCAAATTTAATATTTTCTCTTTATCACAAGTTGTGAACAATTTGATTATGCTATGCCTTTGTGTAGCTTTTTTCTTTTTTTTTGTGCTTGAGTTTCATTGAATTGGATTTATGGGTTTATAATTTTCATCAAATTTGGAAAAATTTCTACCATTATTTCTTCAAATATTCTTCCTGTCTTCACCTTTCTCTCTCTCTCCAGCTTACTGATATTCTTTTTTTAAAAATTTTTATTTTATATAGGTTCCAATACTATGTCTTCAAGTTCACTAACCTTTTCTGCAATGTCTAGTCTGCTGTTGATCCCATCTAGTGAATTTTTAATTTCATACATTATAGTAGCTTCCTCTGCATGTTTGATTTGTGTCTTTTTATATCTTCTATATCGCTACATAACTTTTTGAACCTATGGAATATAGTTATAATAAATGATTTACTATCTTTGCTTCTGTGTCAGTTCTTGGGCGCTTTTGATGGATAGATTATTTTTCTCATCATGGTTTCAGCTCTTCTGCTTCTTTTCTTGACTGCTAATTTTTTATTGGATACCAAACGGTGTGAATTTTGCCTTACGGGTGCTGAATATTTTCATATTTCTTCAGACATTCTTAAGCTTTCTTCTGGTATACATATATTATCTGGAAACAGCTTGATTCTTTTGGGTCTGGTTCTTGCTTTTAAGGCTTGTTAGGTAGGACCTGACCAGTGCTCAGTCTGTTACTGATTGTTACTACTGAGGCAGAATCCTTTTGTACTCTCTGTCGAATTTCCATGAACCATGAGATTCTCAGAGATGGCTGTTAGGAACAGATACTGTTCTTAGTCTTGCAGGGGTCTGGACACTGTTTCTCTAATCCTTTCTGGTAGTTCTTTCCATATGCTCATGTAGTTTCCTCAAACACAGGTGCGGATCCACACTGAGCAGAATATTCAAGGGATACCTTCTTCAAATTGATCCATAGTTTATTTTTACAGAAAAGTAAGTTATAAAACACATATGCCAAATTCCTTTCTCAAAAATAGATTATATGCTAAGATACAACAAAATATTTTCAATGGATATTTCTGGGTGGCATTTTTTTTTGCTTTTTTATATTTTTAGCAAATGGTTTTGTAATCAGAAAATCACTTAAATCAAAAACAGCCGGGCGCGGTGGCTCATGCCTGTAATCCCAGCACTTTGGGAGGCCGAGGCGGGCGGATCACGAGGTCAGGAGATCAAGACCATCCTGGCTAACACGGTGAAACCCCGTCTCTACTAAAAATACAAAAACAAAATTAGCCGGATGTGGTGGCAGGCGCCTGTAGTCCCAGCTACTTGGGAGCCTGAGGCAGGAGAAAGGCGTGAACTCGGGAGGCGGAGCTTGCAGTGAGCCGAGATCGCGCCACTGCACTCCAGCCTGGGCGACAGAGGGAGACTCCGTCTCATAAATAAATAAATAAATAAATAAATAAATAAATAAATAAAACAGAGATTAAATGCCCCTTCTTAAGGTGGCTTCTCCAGTTTCTCAAAGTTAATTGTTTCCTTCTTCATTCTGCCATAGTTTCTGTTAGGGAATCCTTATGATTTGTTTACATTTCTCTCTCTACCAGTCTACTCTGAGCTCCTTCAAAGTAGTTACCAAGTTTTACCAAGTTTTGTTTAACTTTATGTCCCCACTGTCTGACATACAACAGAATTGTTGGGTATTAAAAGAACCCTTAATAAGGTAAAACTCAGAACCCCTATAGAAGCAAATTTCATTTTTTTTTTAACTTTTATTTTAGGTTCAGGGGTACATGTGCAGTTTTGTTATATAGGTAAATTCATGTTACAGAGGTTTGCTTTATAGATTATTTTGTCACACAGGTACTAAACCTGGTCCCAATCTTTTTTTTTTCTGCTTCTCTCCCTCCTCCCATCTTCCATCCTCAGTAGGCTCCAGTGTCTGTTGTTCCCTTCTTCGTGTTCATGAGTTCTGATAATTTAGCTCCCACTTATAAGTGAGAGCATGCAGTATTTGGTTTTCTGTTTCTGAATTAGTTTACTAAGGATAATGGGCTCCAACTCCACCCATTTTCCCTTAAAAGACATGATCTCATTATTTTTAATAGCTGCATAGTATTCCATTGTGTATTTGTACCACATTTTCTTTATCCAGTCTGTCATTGATGGGCATTTAGGTTGATTTCGTGTCTTTGCTATTGTGAATAGTGCTGCAGTGAACATTTTCATTCATGTGTCTTTATGGTAAAATGATTTTTATTTATCTGGATATATATCCAGGAATGGGATTGCTGGGTCAGATGGTAGTTCTGTTTTTAGCTCTTTGAGGAATTGCCATACTGCTTTCCACAATGGCTGAACTAATTTACATTCCCACCAACAGTGTATAAGTGTTCCCCTTTCTCCTCAACCTCGCTAGCATCTGTTTTTTTTTTACTTTTTAAGAGTAGTCATTCTGACTGGTGTGAGATAGTATCTCATTGTGGTTTTGATTTATATTTCTCTAGTGATCAGTGATATTGAGCTTTTTCCATAATCTTGTTGGCTGCATGTATGTATGCTTTGGAAAAGTGTCTGTTCATGTTCTTTGCTCACTTTTTAATGGAATTGTTTGTTGTTTTCTTGTAAATTCGTTTAAGTTCCTTATAGATGCTGGATATTAAACCTCTGTAAGATGCATAATTTGCAGAATTTTTCCCCCATTCTGTAGGTTGTCTGTTTTCTTTTTTGATAGTTTCTTTTGCTGTGCAGAAGCTCTTTAGTTTAATTAGATCAAATTTGTCAATTTTTGCTTTTAATATAATTGCTTTTTGCATCTTTGTCATGAAATCTTTGCTTGTTCTTATGTCCAGGATGGTATTGCTTAGGTTGTCTTCCAGAGTTTTTATAGTTTTGGGTTTTACATTTAAGACACAAACAAATGGAAAACACCCCATGCTTATGGATAGAAAGAATCAATATCATTAAAATTGCCATACTGCCCAAAGAAATTTATAGATTCAATGCTATTCCTATCAAACTACCGATAACATTCTTTACCAAGCTAGAAAAAACTATTTTATAATTTATATGGAACTTAACAAGAGCCCAAATAGCCAAGGCAATTCTAAGCAAAAAAGAACAAAGCCGGAGGCTTTACATTATTCAACTTCAAACTATACTACAGGGCTACACTAACCAAAACAGCCTAGTATTGGTACAGAAACAGACACATAGATCAATGGAACAGAATAGAGAGCCCAGAAATAAGGCCACACATCTATGACCATCTGATTTCTGACAAAGCTGATAAAAACAAGCAATGGGAAAGAACTCCCTATTCAAAAATGGTGCTGGGATAACTGGTTAGCCATATGGAGTAGATTGAAACTGGACATATTCCTTATATCTTATATAAAAATAAACTCAAGGTGGATTAAAGGCTTCAATCTAAAGCAACAACTTTTAACAGGTGGTAGATGGACAAGTATTTGTGGTATTAAAAAGTCATATTCTGGCTGGGCGTGGTGCCTCATGCTTGTAATCCTAGCACTTTGAATGCCTGAGGTGGGCAGATCAGTTGAGGTCAGGAGTTTGAGACCAGCCTGGCCAATATGGTGAAACCCCGTCTCCACTAAAAATACAAAACTTGGCCAGGTGTGGTGATGGGTGCTTGTAATCCCAGCTACTTGGGAGGTTGAGGCAGGAGAATTGCTTGAACCCGGGAGGCAGAGGCTGTAGTGAGCTGAGATTGTGCCACTGCACTCCAGCCTGAGCAACAGAATGAGACCCTCTAAAAAGAAAAAAAAAAAAGGCATATTTTGTGTTGTAACATAATTTTATATTTAGAAAGTAAAAAAGATGAAAATTATAGAAGGTGAAGTTTGACAAATTTTCTTGGGTGGTGGTAATGGCGTGATGTGTCTTCAGTGGGGTAGGCCACACTGGACAGGTCACAGTATTGGAGATTGAGTACAGGCAACGTGTGTGTGTGTGTGTGTGTTTGTGTGTGTGAGTGTGTGTGCACGCGCGTGTGTGTGCATGTTCATATAGTATTTACATTTATGAAAAGGAGGCCTGGCTGTGGAAATGCTGCTCCTAGATTTGCCTTGGAGGGAGAAATTCCAGTTGAAATAAAGACAATTCTGAGCCTGTTGAGTTCTTGGACTTCTTGCAGTGTTGACTCCATGCTGGTTTTAAGGGGTGTGGTATGTTTCTTCTATGTAGATTATGATCTAACTGGGGTTAAAATTCTTTCCTTGTAGCTGAGGTACCTCATACCCCCAGATGGCTTTATTAAATACTTAAGAGGGTCAAAAAAGCACATATAAGGAGTCTGCAAAGTTGTCTTTCTTATTCTTCCATGGCTAACTGGCTCCTATCCAACCACATGAAAATTTAGGATTGGAAAAAAGCCCACCAGGGACCCCCATTCACTCAACATCCAATCCCAACACCTACTTCTACCTCATTCTGCCTTTGGGGTTCCAGCTCTTTCTCCCAGGCTTGGCCTCTGGTCCAAGATATAGTGTCCTTTCCACCACCTGACACCAGAAGCGGTGTTACTCCTGGTAACATTTAGATGAGATCCTGCTTCTCAGCTGTAGGGATGTGGCACAAGTTCAAAATCAAAATCAGAAATATCAAGAATGTTGAATGCGGTGTTCTGAAGCAAGAATTGAGTAAATATTAATAGAGTGACTGTCCTCATAGCATGCATTGTGATTATATAAAGGAGAGCAACCACATTATTTTATTCATGATTCCACAAACATATTTTTGGTGCACTAACTCATGTGTTTTTTCCTGGTGTTTGTTTCCATTCTCTAACACATCTCTATCTTGGCAAGACTTTTATTTCCATTGTCTCAAAAATTCAGAGAAAGAAGCCTGAGCGTTATCGAGCCAGGGTAAAAATAGAATATGACGTCAGATGGAGTCAGCTTCTCCTTGCCCAGGTGAGGTCTGGGGAACAAAGAGGACACCGGTTTTACTGCACCGTAATGACGATGAAGCAGGAGTGTGCCTATGTGGTACAGCTCTGCCTCTCAGAGTTTCCTGTAACATACCATGGTGCAGCAAGTACAGAAAACTTTAGGGGTTGGGAGGGGTAAAGCTGTTACTTCCTGATGCCCAGAGTGGTTCCAGAATGGGAAGAACATTTCCCAAGGCTCAATGGTGGCATGATTATGGGACATGAACAGGCCTTGCAGTTGAGAATGAAAATCTCCAAATATTTTGAGGCTCTCTGCCTTTGAATTATTTAAATCCAATGCTTGTTATTTGTGATCATATCTGATTATGGTTATAAAATGAAGCTATAGCTCAATGTAGAACAAATTTATTTTTCTGATTTGAAGGGTGCATTTGAAACACAGTGCAACATGTAAAACAAATAAAGTAAATGGGAAGTGGATATGTATTGAAAATAGCCTTCGTGGTTTATAAATAGTAGTCATGTAATTAGCCCAACACACAAATGCAACATAATTAATGTTATTAACCAAAATGTAAGCTTCAAAATATCTAGGACAATTGTATAATTATAATGTAATTGAAGCTACTTAAACAGAAACTTTGCCCTTTCCTTTTGGTCTCAGGTATTCTTTTAGTTGTTGAGCCCATATTTTCTGATTTTAAAGAGTAAAATATATTAAGGTGTTTTAAATCACTAGACTTCTTTTGCTCTGATAAACTGACTTACATTTAGCTTGTTATTATATAGTTGTTCCTGTGATTCATAGTCACATAAAATTCACACTGACCAAATACATATGTATTGCTTTGATGAAATGTATCAACATTATATGAAAATTCCAAATGCATTTATAAAATAGATAATAGTATAGGTACTATAAAAGTCAACATTTTTATGGTTAAAACTATGTCAGCATTTTCATAATGTGTTCCTATTTCAAAAACGTAACTTGACCGAAAGATTTTATATTAAGATTTAATGTGATTTTTGAGCTTTCAACCAGAGCAATTTTTAAAAAGTGATTTTTCTTAGTCAGATTTGACATTTCTCAATAGTAGACAGGCATAAAAGGTGGGCCAATTTCCTTACTGTGACCATCACTTCAAATGCCTATTGTTACTGAAACACACTTGCATACAAAAATAAATAAGCAACAAAGGGTTACTTGTGTCCTTGGATCCATGTCATGGCTGTCTTATGGGGGAAACAACTCATCCAATTACAAGACTCTTGACTGTGCTCCAAAAGAGAATCAGCACATTTCCTTTGTTGCTACATTCTTCTCTTTACCTAGACTTTCTCCAGACTATCCTCCATTTCTGTTTCAAAAACCATAATTCTATGAAGTTTCCCCCCTTTTAATCCTCTCAAGTGAATGAGCCACCTCCCTAAAACCATAAAGCCCTTTCTATTATTGACATTCATTTGTTTGTTTAACACACATTTTCCTACTTTTCTTATTCTTGCTTTTTTTCTTTTTTTCTTTGAGATAGAGTCTCATTCTGTCACCCAGGCTGGAGTGCGTTGGCGCGATCTTGGCTCACTGTAACCTCCGCCTCCCGGGTTCAAGTGATTCTCCTGTGTCAGCTTCCCGATAGCTGGGACTACAGGCAAGCACCACCAGGCCAATCTAATTTTGGTATTTTTAATAGAGATGGGGCTTCACCATGTTGGCCAGGCTGGTCTTGAACTCTTGACCTCAGGTGATCCGCCTGCCTAGTCCTCTGAAAGTGCTGGGATTACAGGCATGAGCCATCGCACCTGGCTTCTTATTCTTGCTTTTGAAGACAGGGACTTAAATGAGTTTTCCCAGCTTTAAATTCCTAGTGACATAGCTCATTGCCTTATGCATATGCAGATTTAATACCTCCTAGGCCCCTAGGTCTTGTTAGTTGGAATTGAACTTTCAATTATTATTTTTTGTCTTTTATTTTTGCTCCTATTTCCTCAGCATTCTCATAGCATGTTGTTCAGATCACCGTTAGAGCACCTGGCCATTTACAGGACTCTGCACTAAAAGTTTTGGATGAGTAGGTCCGTTTGACCTAATTTGGCTTTGTCATTGGTCTACTTCACCTATGAATCAGAGGCTAATACGAAACAAAACTTCTCAACCTAGACCTCATCCTGGCAACTGCTTGGACTCTTCTCAATTGGCTCTGCCCAAGTTGTTGCTACAGGAGACCAACTTGAGGTCACTGGTCTAACTTCTCACACCTGACCACAGAAGGCATCTGCAGAACTCACCATGCACCACCTTCTCTCCTTCAAGGGGGAAATGGGTAGAGACCAAGCCTTAAGCCTCTTTGCATTCCCAGAACTAAGGACATGGCAAAGACTTGTTAAATATTTCCTGCCTAAGTGGAATAATCCACCAATCAGTTAATTGAGACTTGTTTGTCTGTTCTTTCTATTAATTAATATAATGAATATTTAGAATGAGGAACTGTTTCTCTGGCCATGAGGCAAAATAAATAAGAATTAAATGCATAATTCTATCTGTATTAGCTCCATTCACCAACCAAATGAACTTACCATGTACAGACTGTTCTGCAGAAGGTGTTAATTCACAATGATTCAAATTAACATTAATATTTGCAGACATTGCCTTTCATTTATTTTAGCTCATTTACTTTATCACAAAATAAAGCCGAGTTAAATATTACTATATGTGGAAGAAATTTAAAGTGATTATGTATTACAGCAAGCCTTATAAAGCATTAATCTTCATTACTGAGGAGACGTTTGACAATTCCCTTAAGGATACACCACTTGAGTTCCAAGATTCCTCAAGGGAAAGGTGTAAGCTTTGAGATGTAAGCATCTTACACGTTACTCAAATAAAGGATTTCTTGTAATAGGTTTGAAGATAGAATCCAGAGAAAATGGGAAATATATATGCAGTTGATCAATTGATTTGATGACCCTAATTTTCCACATCTTTCTATAGCCATGCCCTTTGTCATCACTGTTAGTCCATTTTGTATCCCTATAAGGGAATATCTGAGGCTGGGCAATTTATAATGAAAAAAGGTTTAATTGGCTCACAGTTCTGCAGGCTGTAAAGGAAGCCTGGTGCTGTTATTTGCTCAGCTTCTAGTGAGGCCTCAGGGAACTTTTACTCATGGTGGAAGGAGGCAAAGTGGGAGCAGGCACATCACATGGTGGAACAGGGAGCAAGAGAAAGAAGAGGGAAGTTCCAGACTCTATTAAGCAACCAGTTCTCATGTGAACTAACTGAGCAAGAACTCACTTATCTCTGAGGGGCTAATGTTAAACCATTCATGAGGGATCTGCCCCCATGATCTAATCACCCCCAACAGGCCCCACCTTCAACATTGGGAATCACATATCAGCGTAAGATTTGGAGGGGACAAATATCCAATCCACATAATCACTGTCCCACACTTATCTAAAACTTGGCCACAGAATTTTCTTTGGCCAGCGAGACAATTTGACATAAGTGGCTTGAAAATTCCTTGTGGATTTCCATGTATTCACTTGGACATTTGTCATTACCAAGAGAACACACTTAGACTAGCCTGCTGGAGGGATGTTAGATGGTAGAAGAGGTCAGGGTTGTCCTAGCTGAGGCCATACCAGACCAGCCAATGCCAGTCCACCCTCAGCTGACTAGACACAAAAGTGAGCACAGCCTAGATTTATTAAACTAAGTCTTGATCAGCAGAACTTCTGAGCAGAGCCATAGCTTTGTGAAAAATAATGAATGATTGTTGTTTTAAGCCATAATGCTTAGGATAGTTTGTTACACAGCATTATTGTAGCAATAGGTGACTGATACAGTGGCTAATTTTTCTACAAGACTATGGTGAAGTCTACAATTTATTGCAAATACATAGTGAATTTATATTTTAAATTTTTCAATACTTTTCAGTAGAGGGGAGGCATATATGTGAAAAGTTGAAGTGAAATTCAAAGTAAGTTTTCAAAAGGAATAAAATAATCTGAGAAAATGAGAGAATTTTCAGAGTCAGTATATTGTCTTGGTAAAACATAGGCTCTGGAGGAAAATCATATAGGCTAGAGTTCTGGTTGCAGACCTTAAGAGCTGTGTGATCTTTATCAATTTACTTAATCATCTTTTTATCCTTCCTTTTTTTAATCTGTAAAATTGGAATACCTATTGATGGTGGATGGCCATGAAAATTATATCTATATCTATATCTATCTATCTATCTATCTATCTATCTATCTATCTATCTATCCTTAGATGAGTTTTGACACTTATTAAGCAGTCAATAATGTTAACTAGTATTGTGTAACAGGTGAGGTATAAAATAGAGTAACATCAAGTCATTACTATGTAGCAAGCTTCAGGACACTGTAGAACTTCAAATAGGGGAGAGTTTTCTGGCCATGATCAATTGCTTATTTATTTTCTAGATATTTTTCAAAGGCTGGTATCAATTGCAAATCATTAAATAATAGAGGAATAGTGGGCTATAGGGAACAGCAAATCCGGATTCAAATTGTATGATGATGGGTCAACTATGGAGCCTTCCAGGAATTCAGTTTCTTTATCAGTAAGTGAGGTCTTGGTTGAACAAGATGATCTGTAGGAACTGCATACTTTGAAAATTCATTATGTCTAAACCTATACCTTAGTATCAAAGTACTTTAAATAGGCAAACTGATCTCACGTCACAATTGTCAATGAATGATTTTTTAATGCATTAGTAGTTTAAATGGTAAGATAGTTTAAATGGTGAGTAGTTTGGTGAGAAAGAACAGCAGTGATAATATTTTAAGTAAAAATACACTGTTTTATACAAAGACAAAGAATATAGTATGTATTGGGGATGTTTCTTGAGGATCTACATCATTCCTGATACTGTGGTAGATTCTGAGGACTAACAGATAAAAGCCCATTCCCATAGAGTACCTACAGTGCAGTGGGAAGACAAAGAAGTAAAATCTGTGGTAACAAGGACACAGACCAATAGGGGCAGCAGAGAAAGAGAAAATAAATCATATTTAAAACAAAAACAAATTATTTTATTTTGTTCTTCAGAAATGTTAGTCTTGTTGATTGATATGAGAGAAAATCCAGATTTGTTGTGTTTATGGCCGCTAGCACATAGACCATCCCACAATTTTTACTTGCTTTTAAATTTTTCCATAAAGGCATAAAAATGGAAAATTTTATCCCTAAACAAAAAGTTGTCTATGTTTTAACAAAAATTAAAAATAAGGTGTGCTCATTACTGAAATTACTGTCTCTCAGTTCTATACCCAACTTTGCCCTGTAAGATTCTGCCTATAGAGGGTGCTACAGGAAGACTGGGAAGCTGAAGGGGAGGGAAGGCACTTTCTATTTTCTTGTGAGCTTCCTGCTCTAATAACATCCAAATCCAGTTTGCAACTTTTCCAACACGTACAGAACCAGCTTTTGGATGTCCCAATGCAGAGACACCCCAGCTAAACAGCACTCCTCAACAGATGTCTGCATTTGAGCCCCACAGGGTCCTTCCTCTAAGATTTTAATAATCTCAACCTTTAAATTTTTGTTCCCCAGTCCCTAGGCTGATAGTGGCTTTCTACAGTTGCTATTTCTGAGATACCATACGGTCCTCTTTTTATTCTTTCAATTACATAGTTAACAACTTTGTACCTTTGTCAATTCTTTATACTAAATTTTCTATGCACAAAAACTGGTGTGGTTTCTGTCTCTTGACTGAACTTTACTGAAACCAGGAACAAAATAAAAATATCTTAACAATATATTTAAAAACTGTAATTGAAACATAACTTGCATACATTAAGTATATGAATCTGACATGCTAGCTAGATAGATAACTATAGATATAGCTAGTGTAGCCAACATCTGGATTAAGATATAGAACATTTCTAGCACTAAGAAGCTTTTTTGTGTTTCTCCCAGTTAATACTCCTAGCAAAGGTAACCATTATTGAACTTTATATTAATGGAATCATGCAATATGAAATTTTGTGTGTCTGGCTTCTTTGGCTGAACATCATAGTTTTAAGATACATTTTTTTATGTATTTTCTCTTTTACCAGTGTGATGTATTGCATTGTACATATATCAATTTATCCATTTTCTTGTTAATGGACAATTGAATTGTTCTTACTTTTAAGTTATTTTGAATAAAGCCTTTATAATACATCTTGCAACAAGCTTTTGGTGAGCATAAGCACTCATTTTGGAGTATATAACCAGGAATGGAATTGTTAGGCTATGGAATACGTACTTGTTTAGTTTTGGTAACTACTGCCACACAGTTTTTCCAAAGGGGTTGTGCTGATGTATAATCCTTCCTGCAATGCCTGAGAATTCCAGTTGATCCACATCTTTGCCATTATCTCTTTAAATATTGCTTGTATCTCAATCTCTCCCTCTCCAGGAAATGAATAAATGAAGGTTAAAGTTTGTATCCTATGTGTTACCTAAATTATGTTCTTCTTAAAAATAATATTTTATTTGCTTGTCTTTGAGCTTACTTCAGTCTTCTGTTGTGTGCTGTTAAACTCAATGAGTTCCACATTTCAGATTTTATATTGTTCAGTTCTAGAATTTTCATTTAACTTTGCAATTTTCTGTTTAAATTCTCCATGTTTTCATCTATATTATACATATTTTAATTTTTTTAATATATTAATCATAGCCATTTAAGTCCCCCCATCTGATAACTCCTTTTTCTGAACTATCTGTGAATCTGTTTTGATTGAGTTATGTGCATTGTTGAAACTATATATATTTAGTCACCACTTAAAATAGCTTCTAAAAGAGTATGATTTAGTGTTGCAATGCGAAATTATTGTGTATTTAGCAATGAACAGAAGCTGGTATAAATTTAATATTTATTTATTTCAAAGAATCAGTGTTTGGTTTCATTGATTTTTGTCTATTTTCATTTTCTTAAATTTTGATTTTTACCTTTATTATTTCCTGTCTTCTGATTTGAATTTAATTTGCTCTTCTTTTTCTAGTTTCTTAGAATAGATACTGATTTGAAACCCCCATTTTCCTAAGATGAGTACTTTACACTATGCATTTTATTTTTGATCCATGGTTTATCTAGAAGTATGTAGTTTCATCATCAAATATTTGGAAAATTTTCACTTCCTTTTTCTTTTAATGATTTTTAGTTTAATTATATTGCAGCCCAAGAACATACTTTGTAAGGTTTCTATTCTTTTAAAATTTTTAAGTATTTTACTTTTGGCCCAGAATGTGGGTTATCTTACTTATTGTTTAATGTTCACTTAAATAGATGTATATTTTGATGTTTTTAGGTAGAGTATTCTGTAATTATCAATCAGACCAAATTGGTTGACAGTGTTGTCCAAATCATCTATAAACTGACTGATTCTCTTTTTATTTGTTCTGCCAATTGCTTAAAGAGAATTAAAGAGAATTGTTGAAGTCTTAATTCGGAATTTGTCTATTTCTCCTTTAAGTTCTATAAGTCTTTTCTTCACATATTTTAGAGCTCTATCATTATGTGCATACTCATGTAGGATTAATATGACTTCTCAGAGAATTGACTGCTTTGTCATTATGTAATGTCCATTTTTGTCTCTCATAATTTTCTTATTCTGAAGTCATTTTATTTGATATTAATATGATTACTCCAGCTTTCTTTTATTAGTATTTGCACTCATTTTATATATATATATGTATATATATATATGTATACGTATATATTTC
This sequence comes from Homo sapiens, assembly GCF_000001405.40. Taxonomy (NCBI): domain Eukaryota; kingdom Metazoa; phylum Chordata; class Mammalia; order Primates; family Hominidae; genus Homo; species Homo sapiens. The sequence goes on from NC_000002.12 coordinate 198,473,900, forward strand.
TATTCTTTTACTGCTAGCCTATCTTTACATTTAAAATAGATTTCTTGTAGTCAGCATTTAGTTGGGTCTTACATTTTTATTTAATCTGACAGTAATCTCTATCTTTAAACTGGTAGTTTAATCCATTCACATATAATGTGATTATTGATATAATTGAATTAAAACAATTACCTTGCTAGCTATTTTCTAGCTATTTTCTATTTTCCCCATCTATTCTTTGTTTCTTATTTCCTTTTCTAAAAAAAGAAAACTTGATTTAACTGAACATCTTCATGATTTTTATCTTCTTTATTGACTTATAATGTTTATATCTCTGTTAAAAATTAATGGTTGCCCTGAAGTTAATAATAAACATACTTACTGAATCAGAGTCTATCTTCAAATATTATACTGCTTTATGTATATTGTAAGGAACTTATAACAGTATACTTAACAATTTCTTTCTCTTATTCTTTTTGCTATTGTCATACTATTGTCACATATTTTAGTTGTGTATTCTTCATAAAAATACAATGAATTACAATGGTATATGTCTGTCTGAAAAACTACTTTTTATAATTGTCATAAAGTTGGTCTTCTTGGCACTGAATTTTCTCAGTACTTATTTACCTGAAATAATTTTCACTCTTTTTTGGAAATATATTTTTGTTTGATATAGAATTCTGATTGACATTTTTTGTTGTTGTTTAAAACTCTACATTTTAAAGATGTAGTTATCATCTACTAGTTTGCAAGATTTCTAAAGATAAACCTGCCATAATTATTTATTATTATTATCATTATTTTTGAGACAGGGTCTTACTTTGTCATCCAGACTGGAGTGCAGTCATGCAATCATGGCTCACTATAGCCTCAACCTCCCAGGCCCGAGTTATCCTCCAACCTCAGCCCCCAGACTAGCTGGGACCACAGGTGTGCACCACCATGTTTGGCTAATTGTTAAATCTGTTTGTAGAAATGAGATCTTCCTACATTGCCCAGGCTACTCTTGAACACCTAGGCTCAAGTGATCCAGCCTCAGCCTCCCAAAGTGTTGGGATTATAAGCATGATCTGGTTATTGTAATTTTTATCTTTGTTCTGCTGTGGGTAATTTGTCTTTTTTGTTCTGGCTGCCTTCAAAATTTTCTCTTGAGCTTTTGATTTTGGTATTTTTAATATAAAATTCCTACATAGTTTATTTATTTGTATTTATCTGATGGGTAGTCTTGAGCTTATTCAATCTGTGGTTTGGTATCTGTCATTAACATTGGAAAATTCTTGGCCATTATTTCCTCAAATTTTTTAAAATTCTGTTTTTCTTTCTTTTCTTTTTGGGATTAGAGTTATGAATTCTAATGAATATGTATCTTAGATCCATTGATATGTTGATATTTTTACACTGCTTTTGTATGTTGTAGTTTTATTTTTATTTTTTAACTTTTCTTTTCTTTTTGTTTGTTTGTTTGTTTGTTCGGTTTAGGTAGTTTCTATTGACCTGTCATCAAAATATCAACAAGTTCACTGATTGCTTCTTTGCATATGATAAGTCTAAGAATGAGCCTGTAACAGACATTAATCATATCTGTCATATTTTAATTTCTAGCATTTGCAATTGATTCTTATAGTTTTCATCTCTTTCCTGGAATTACCTAGCTGATCTTGTGTATTGTCCACCTCTTCCATTAGAGACTCTAACATATGAATCAAGTTATTTTAACTTTTCTGTCTTTTAATTTCACCACCTGTGTCATACCTAAGTCTGGTTTTTATGACTGTTTTGGCTCTTACGAGTGTGTTGTTTTTACTTTCCTTTTTGTATGCTTTGTAATTTTTGTTGAAAGTCAGGCATCTTGGAAAAGAAAGTCCAGCATTTTATATAATTTTTACCCCTGGAAATTAATGTCTCTCTTTTGAGTAGAACTATTATGTAGGAGATTTAAGTTCAAGTTAATTTAATACCCTTAAGTAGTAAGGGTATCAGCTTGGTTTTAGGTTTATTGTTGCTATGGTAACCTTTAGGGCACCACTGGCTTCAAATTCCTCCAGAAATACCTTGTGTTAGTTTGGTTTGCTAGAGGATTTTTTTTTTCTTCTACTTAGTGGGTGATCCTATATCAACTCTAGATCTTCCTTTGTGCTGTACCTCAGAAAATTTCTTTTCATGTATTGGTTCCTCTCCTATGCCACTCCAAGTCATATTCCAATGTTGTTACTTACTACTGCTTGTTAGCTTGTCAGCAGGGAGTGGTACTGAGGCATTATTTCTTGTTTACATTAAACTTAGTCGTAGGCTGGCATGGTGTTATGTTTCTGGGTCCTGCAGTGTGAACTCCTGAGTAGTTTCCCTCCTCAGGCTCTAGGCCTGGACTCTGCATGCAATGCTGCCCCTCTCTCAGGGGAAGGATTTTAAAAATTGTTGTTCTCTTCTTCTAGCTGCAATTGATTTTCACTGGTGTGTTAAGGGTGTGTTTGCACTTGCCTCTGTAGTTTAAGGCTCTGTTCCACAGCAGAGATATAGTAGGGTGCAGGTAGGGCTCTGTGTTCGTCCCGCAGGGGCTGATGTGTACCATAAGAAACACTTTCCTTCCTTGAATCTTTTTTGTGATTGCCCTTGGTTCATGGAGAAAAACTGTAAGGAGAATGTAGAACTCCTTAATTTTCTCATCTCTTAGGAACTTTGCACTCTCTCTGGAATAAACTTGGCCTCCACCAATATGCCAGTTACATCAATTGAACCCTTTTTACTGGTTTTCAGTTGCATCTGTCTTAGATAAGCCATTGCATATATCTTATCACTTCCTACAGGCACCTGTCTTTTCTTTGATTTTGGGCTAGCTGGTTGCCCTGCAATTTCATCTTCCAATGGTTTCAAGAATTGTGAATTTATTTGGCTCTGTTACATTATTTGGGTGGAAATGACATTCTTTTGAGTTCTTTATATCCCTGGATGAAAAATAAATTTGATGTTAATAAAGCATCATTGTAGAAATAATCAGAATTTCATATTTTCTTGCAAATTAACAACAAGGGTTTTATGAGACCTAAAAAAGGAAGATATCCACAAGTAGATGAAGATGTGTTATATTTTGTTCCTAAAATACTTGCAACGAGCTTACTCTCACACTCCAAGTACTGCAACTGAAGGTAGGGTAGATTGCCAAATTCTTTGGAATAGATGAAATCATTTCAAAGCAATGAGGGGCTGATGTTCTTAATTCATGTTGTACAGGATTATCATTAAGGCATCATGTCACGGTTTAAATAGCAGAATTTTTTTCTTTCTTAGTGGTTCATAAAATAATGATGTGACTTAAAATCAATGGCATTCTCTGTACTGTTAGCAGTGGGGCGAGGCTTTGTGTAGCTCCAGTGACAGGCGACTTTCAGATTAGGCACTGAAATTGAAGTGCCTATAAAAATTTTATGTATATATATGCACGTGTGTGTGTGTGTGTGTATGTGTGTGTATGTATATTCATGGAAGGCTGCCATAGTAAGCCTTTCTTGTTTGTGATTGTCTTACAATAATTTTATTAATGAGGCTACTATTATAGCTGTTACATTAGAAAATGGGCAAAGAAATTTCTAATGGCTTGCAAAGTAGCTCAGCTATATTTTCAATTAGGGGAAAGGTAGACTAAAGGCTCACAGACTACATTTCAAAAGTAAGTATTATTGGCACATAAGAAGTATGGCATGAGACATGGGTAATTTGGGGTGGAAAGGAAGAAAAAAGGTTAAAAGATAAAAATGTCAGTGGGTAGAAACTGGAAAGCATCAATGATATTTTAGATCTTTCTTCATATATTGGTATAAAAATAATAAGGTGAGTGTGAACTTATTAGACCGAACTCTGCTACATATGCAAAGGAAATCAAATTCCTTCTTTGACAACTGTATCGCATATAACACCAGGGAGAATTCTTAACCAGTAAGTTGACCCTGTTCAGTCTGCTTTGTCAAGGAGACATTAGTGTATTGGGGAATTGTGAACACTGGCTTCCTGAAGTAAACTGGTTCATATTTAGAGAAACTATTAACTTACAGAGAGTTCTGTAGAATTTTACCAAATCTTTGTGGTTCTTAACATGTTTTTGTCTGTACAACCCTCTTTCAAAAACTCCATGATAAGTTTCAAGGCAAAAAATGACATTAAATTAAGAGTTGTGTAGAACTGAGTCTCTATCCTTCAAGAAACATTTGATATCTTTATGTTATGAAATTGTCTTTAATCATTAATTCTAAATAAAATATAAGATTTATCCATGTAACATGTTAGGGAATAAAGTAGAGTTGGGGCCAGATAAATATTGATTTCCTTGTGTTTAGTTTTATCATTCATAAAAATTCCGAATGAAGAGATATGCCACATGCTAGTGTATTTTTTGTAATGTATTTCTTTGGTAGTATTTTAAATAACAGGGAGTACCAGAAAACTGATCATTATGTAGAGATTTAACCTCAGCTAGCTATTTTATAACCAATGCTTTATTCCAGCTCTATAATTAACATCTAAAATTAACATTTTTCAACATGACTTTAAACATTAGAGAATCTAAGTAGATATAAATACTTAAAGTACTATTGCTTTGCACTTTTTAGGCCTTTCAAAACGGAACTAAAGGCAGTCTCTCTCCACATGAAATATGGCACAGTACATGCTTTGGAACTGTTTTATAGTCTTAAATATTTTTTATGCAATTGAGTATAATTATTTCCATATGTTTATAAAGAGTAAAGGGAGGTAGCCACAGAGATGCTGAAATGTTCTATGTCCCTTTACATTACTAGTCACATAAGAGAACTGGCTCCTTCTTATCTCTGGTCTTTTTATCAGATAAATAGAATTTATTCACTTTCTTTAATACTAACCTGAAGATGATGTTTAATGCACCATAAACAAATCTTATGAATTTTTTTTACATGATTAAAATGGTCGTAACTATCCAATGTTTCTTGCTGATTGAATCTGCCACTTCTGTTTACTAGGAAAATAAATAACACATGTTTGCTCTCTTTCTAAAAGGTTCCTATTTATTTTGTGGTCATTTCCTACTTATAATATTTCCAGCTTAATTTCATAAATCAGCTTTTATACTTGAAAAAAAGCTTTTATTGTACATTGTCTTCAAATATTTTGTCTTTGAGCTCTAGGCTTTTATTTGATGAAACATTGTTTTCTTTTCTCTTTTCTTTCTTTTTTTTGAGGCTTGTATTGGAGTTGGATTTTAAAAAGTGAAACAGCTGCATGCCTTACATATGAACAGGCAGTATTCAGCTGTCTGAGATTTTTTTCCTCCACTATATTAGCAATGCTTGTGTCTAATTTATAGCTGTCAAACAAAAACAAAATTTACAGGGCATTTGTCTGTCAAAGGGCTCATTAAGATGAACAAGCATGCAGAATAAACTGTCTAACAAGAAAACTCCCATTGTTATCATTTCTTAAGTCATGGATGCCGTGAGTAATGTTATTTATGCGTCCCTTCCAGTGATTTTAGGGACTGTATAAAGTTCAATGAACATGGCTAAATGATATCTTCAGTAGATAAACTTCTACTCTGTCATGCACTCCATGCCATATGCTTGACATACATTCATACTGAGAGTCAAGGCCTGTTTCTATACCACCATGATTGTATTAAAATACGAAGCATCTTGGGTACATACTTCAGGGCATATCTCAAATTCACCTTCTTTAAGGAGCTTTCCTGTTATCTGTGTTCGATATGATCCCAAATCTCTATAGGCTATATGTTCTGCCTTGTGTTATTATCATTTGTAGGGTTGTCTTATTTCTACCACATGTGCTCCTTCTCATCTTAACATTCCTGCTCCCCTTCTAGGAATATATATCTCTTGGTAATAGTTCTGCAATCTAAGGCAAAGGTTAAGGGTAGATGTGCTCTATCTATGGAGTTGAAGTAGCTAGTCAATGTTTCTTCCACTTGATAGCATGAGAGCCTAGCTCAGCTTGGAGTCAATGTCATACATTTACTTCAAAGCTGGGGCCCATGAAAGGAATGCACTCAATAATGGGCCAACAATCATTTTACTTTGTCAGGTCCTAAACCATGAGGTCTGCAGTTTTAAGTTAGTCTTGCTATAAATGAGGTTCCTTATCGTCAAAAGAGAAAATAGTCTTACATAATAATTTCCCATTTCTCTAGAAATTAGTTAAATTTGCAGCTTGGCATATAGGCTTTTGCTGTCAAAGTGGACACAATTATATGACATTCCAACAGAAAACTATATATAGGGTGCTGCTAAATGGTGCTAGTATTGATCATGTCAGGTACCCTGTAATATTATGTATTATAAGATATATATATATATATACTTATTTAGCTATAATAACCCTATAAGGTAGTGTCATTCGTCATTCTCGTTTTATACACAGGTACTTGAGGCTTGGTCTCATAAATTAGTGAATAATGGTGTTGGACTTCAAATCTAGGTTTGTCTTACTTAAAAATGCACACTCTTAATTACATTAAGCTGAATTCCTACTAAATTTAATTGTAGATCTCTCATTTTTAGAAATCTAAACTTAGTTCAAATTCATTTTCGTGAAGGAAGAGGCTGTGTTAGCCTTATTTGTAAATGGGACTGGCAATTTAAATTATATTCCATAATCAAAATAATCTGCAGCAACTGCCTTTTGCATTTCCAATGGGGCAAAAGAAGATTCTGTGAATTACGTAAACTTGACTTATTTAATAATTAGTTGACTTATTTAATAATTAGTGAGTTGCATGCTGTGCATATTCTGTGAATACACACACACACACATACACACACACAGACACACACAATGGAAAACTAAGGTGTTTTAATCTTTTAGAAGCTTATATCAAAAAGTTTTTGGAAGAAACCAAGAAAACTGTATAAGCATGATTTAAGATGGGCTGAAGAGAGGAGTGTCCTTTATGGAAGATTGAGGGAGGAGCATTTTCAGGGCAAGATTGAAAAGATAAGATTGCTTTGAAGGGCCCCAGTGAGGTGTCATGATGTCACCCTTGATAACGGGTGATATCGATAGGGTGATATCATTTTGACTATAACAATTGAATAGTAACCTAGATTGTATTGCCAACTGTTATCAGCCAACTTAGTCATGCACAACTATTTTGTTTTTGTAATTAATGTGTGCCACTAACAGTTCAAGTGTTAGATACTTATCCACAATCTCCAACCAATATTCTTATCTTCATCCCTATGCTCTACCTTTTTGTTTTCTTCTACATATGAACTTCCCCTGCTCCTGTCTAAAACCAATTCATGACTTCTTCCCTACAAAAGACATTGTTCCAGAAATTCTTCCCTCCTTCTTTTGCTTGTTATTTTTAACTCTCTTCATACAAAGTTGCTCTTATTTCTTCCTGCTCACACTTTCCCTGCCATGTATTGATCCAATCATTAGATAGAGTAGAGAACAATTGACAACATGATTTATTTGTGAGAAAGATGATGTACATAAAATAAGTAAATATTTTGACTTTTGGGACTGATAAAATTGATAAGGCCTTTTAGTGAGTTAGGGATGAAAAGAGACTTTAAGCTTAAGTGATTGATTATTGTAGGTGTAATATATCGATAAAAATTTTCATTGAGAGGTAAAAAAAAATCACCATGTCAGATGTTTCTTCTTATCTCTGCTCAAATAGTCATGGGAAAATACTCCTGAAAAATATACTATTACTTTGATAAAGATGAAGATAAGAGGTTTTTAAGTGAATGGCATAAAATAATGGATAATTCTTTCATAAGTATACTACAAGGGAGTGGAAAAATTCCTGAAGCCACAGATTGTCTTAGAGTTAAAAAGTTTAGGACTTCCAGTGACTGGTAATGTCAGGAGTGGTAGGATACGTGAACAACTAAGGAAATCTATCAGAATAAAGATTAGCTTTCAAGATGTGTTGGTGATGTATTTGGAATATGCCTGGATGTCAGACCATGCTGCAGGTCTGGGGCAGCTGTGTCTGTTGCACATGGCAATGACAGTGGACAATTGAATCTTCAGTGCTTCTGAGAGCCAGATGAGCCCCAGAAAATGGATGCAATGAGAAACCCAATTTCTGAAATTTAGCAGTAAAAATAAAGATTAAAGGATAGATATAGCCTACATACAAAAAAGGCAAAATTATTCCATTTCTCAATCTGTAGATATTTGCTGAGCATCTATGTGTTATAAATAAAAACTGTGAGAGATAAAAAATGTATAAAATAAATGGCTTCTGTTTTATTATATATGTCAGTGCATGAGTATTTTCACTGAGCTAATCAGAGAGTGTTATAAAAGTAAAAACTAAGTTCTTTGGCACTTATTGAGCAGCTACTGTGTGCTTGTTAATATTCTAGGCATCTGTCCTTGAATCATCTCATTTAATTATTACAATAGTTGTAAAATGCTGGTGTTAGTATGTACCTTCATTTCCACAGAAGGAGGTCAGGTCACTTGTCTAAAGTAAGACAATCTTGCATTTATCAAGTTTCAAAGGAAAAAGTGTTCACTGCAAACAGATTGTTGAAGATTTAAGTCTCATATTGGGCAGTGAAGAATGAGATACATAGGAAAGGGAAGCAGAAAGATACTAGAGGTTGGGTTAGAGAAGGAATATTGAGGGCCATGAATAGATGAGCCTGGTGGTAAGAGAGCTTATGTGCAGAACCAAATGAAAAATATATTTGGAAAGTGAAGTTTAGCCTAAATTACCATGGGTCTATGTACTTTTAAACACATCTCTCTTACCTATCTCTCGTCTACTTTTTCATTTCCATTGAGAGGAAGGTGAATTTAGTTCCATATTATCTATTTTATAGTTGTTTGGTTGATGAAAGATCAAAGATGAAAAAATGATAATTTTGGTTTCACATTCTATATCTTAAAGCAACTTGATTTTATAAAAAGATGCCCAAGCTACGCTATTTGGATCTGGTTCATAATTTGTGCCTAATATAGTCTACACCTCAGATATGTATGCACATAAAGCCAATTCCAAGCAACTTTAAAGTAACACAGGAAATTCAGGTTAACATTTGTCACAGTTTCCAATGGCAACAGCCTCTTCTATTTAACTTGTGATGAAATGAAAATGCTATACCTCATTTTCTCTCTCTTAGTGTGATGCCTTCTTCTTCTGTCCTAGCCAAAAATCTCACAAACTTGGACATTGTAAAGAATACTCTCTTCCTGGCCTTTATTGTGAGATACTGAGGACTGTTTTCTGTAAAGGACTTAAAAAATATGCATTTAAGAGATATGATGAATGTTGCTCAGTGGTAAATCTTTGTATAAAAATGTGTTAAATTTTAGTCATTTTCTGTGGGATTGTAGCATCAGCAACTGGCATGCGATGAATCAGACTGATGATTCCAGTCCTTTGCAAAGCAGACAGCATGATATAATGGCACTGAAAAAATCTCCTTTGGCAACTTTTGTAGCCACGAAGTGCAAAAGAGGTGTTAGATATTACTATACTTGGAAAGAGCAAGAGTCCTCATTTCAACTATTGAAATTATTTGAAGCCCTCTTTTACTATTTCCTTTAGTGCTGATAATGTGGATACCATCACATTTGATCTCCTGAGCAAGGTAGCCTTACCTTACTTTTCTGTGGGGTTATGGAGCCCTTCAGAAATTTGAGAACCTTTTCTATAAAGGATTGTTTGAGCAATATATGTCCAGATACATTTTTTCCCTTGTACACATTCAACCTTGCCAAGTATCATTTCAAGAACTGAATGTTTAGTTTTTTTACAACTGCCATAATCTTGCTGGGAAGGTCACCTTCTGTGAAAGCTGAATAGATATGATTTCTTCAAGAAAAAAATTAAGGTGAGTTATAAAATCGTAATTTTAAAGGAGATGTACATGTTACAGAAGTCACATAAAGCAATTTGTAAGCAAGAAGTTCTAAAGGCTGTCAGGATATGTTGATTCAGAAGTTTCAGGGATTAATTGACCACCAGGAACTTTCATGAATCTAGCAGTGGATCTCCAAAGTGATAAATGCTAGCATTGAAGTGTTAACTTAGTTATATTGGAGCATACAGCAGAAAGAGACTAATTCCAACTGACTTCACATAATCATCTTTTGCCTGATTATATGAAGCTATTGACTATTATAGAAGTGGGAAATCTGTTCTTAGCCACAATTTGTCTTTAGCAGCCAAGTATACTTTCTCTAATCCTAACCAGCCAAATCTTAGGAAACAAGTTGCAGAAGCCATGTGGGTTAGACTCCTGGCAAATAGCACCTGCACCAGGTTACTCCAACAGCCATCTAGGTGACAGAACCACCTCGGGGCCAGTTATAAAGATGATTGTGTTCTCTCCAGCTGCTATTCTAGTTTGCTATTCTGCCTTCCATAAAGCCTTCCTTCTATTGTTTGTATTTTTGTAACTATGGAATATATAATTTCAAAAGATTTCTCTTATGTTCCTCATTTATACTCTTTAATACATCAAGGCACATTATGCAGGCCTTTCAACGTTATTCAAGAATGTTAAGCTTACTGTTAAGCTTACTGCTATCTAAATAGTCTTTTTGTGATATTGATATTTTCAATGTTAACTGATATTTCATTGTAATGATTAATAAATATTCTTTCAAATTTAAAGGGGACTTTTCAAAGTAAAGTGCTTTCTATATTTATTGTAAGAAATACTTCAAAAGCCCAGTTCTTGAGGAAGACTAAAAGGTACTATATGCAATTTCTTAATCTCTTCTTTGGGCATTCTATAAGTTGGGGTAGTCTAATTGCTTCAACATGTACCAAATCTCAATTAATTAGGATCATGCAATTTTATCTCTTGCTCGTAAGATAGTTTAACGTAAGTTTTTTGGGGGCAGCCTTTTATATATTGATTTAGGAATTCAGCTTCTTTCTAATCTTTGGTGCTACTATCCTTTAGAGTCTCATAGGCCTCTGCCAATTCTTTTACCCCCAGCAAACAAATGGGTGAAGAGACAGAGTGTGTGATCCTATGGGAGGATATTTATGGACCAAGCCTACAAGAGAGGCTTATCACTTCCACCCACGTTCAATTGGCCCAAACTCGGACTTAACATCTTCACCTACTTATAAGGGAGGCTGGGAAATGTATAGTTGTATTCCCAGAATAAAGGAAAACAGAAAAACTAGATATATTCTACTATAGGCACTCATCTTGGATTTGTAAACTGCTTATATTTTTGATATTGAACATCTTTCATTAAATTTTGCTTTCATATTATAGTATCTTTATATTGCAGTATGAGCTTCAAATGAAATAACTTCACAATTCAACCTTTGTAAATATTTTAATGACAGCCCTCTTACCTAGTAAAACGTGTATATTCTCAACTTCTGATAAGAATGAGAACTTTTCTTTCAAAGGATAATGGGCTTTCCTTATGTGTAAGTAGTTGTGTTAATCTTGGGGCAGACTGTGAACTTACTGATTTTTTTTTTTTTTTTTGACAAGTCTCTCTTCTGCGTCTTTCTAAGGGGTTCACAATTTGCTGAACTTCCTGCCTGAAGCAGGTGCCCATTGTCTTAGCATTCTCTCCTGCTTATCTAAGGAACTTCATTCTGGGCTTTCATGCTTGCCCCACCTATTAATGGATATTGACATGAATGGGTATTTACTCCTCTTTGTGTTTTAACATTGGCTTTCTGGAGTTATAATTTCTTAAGCTGTTACCCCTAGTGCCTCCCAAAAAGCACTGATTGCCATGAAATGTTAATAAGTGTTTCTTTTACACAGATGCACAAAAACATACATACATAGACACGCATATGTGCATAAAATTACATATATTCTATGACCCACTAAATTTGGTAACCACTGATGTAAACTAAATTAAACAGATTTCTCTTTTAAAATATTTCTTAAAGCTCATATTATGTCAATGTATGTTTTGACTCTCCAAGAGTTACAAGAATTACAAATAATATGTGGTGTTTCTCAAATTTATTTGAGCCTGAAAACTTTCTTTTTAACACCAAGGCACTAGTCTACAGAAAAACACTGGGAAATACTGCCTGACTCCATGGGAATTGTCCTTATATCAAATATATAGATGCTGCAAAAGACTTGTGCGAGTGAGAATTGGGGCACAAAGCATTTTGTTAAAAAAAGCCCATCTGCAATGGGATATTTATTCTTTTTTTTCTGCTCAGAATAAATTACTTCATTTGAAGCAAGCTTTGTTCCCAGTGACATTATAGTCAAGGAATATGTTATTGTGATCTACAAATTTAATTTCTATTAAGAAAAAATTATAGATATTTTTGTGAATTGTATAAGCAACAGTTACTTAATGCTTCCAAGAGGAACCAAGAAACTCTGACTCTTCTTATATTGTCCACATCTCCTTGGGAGATAAAAAAGATGCACATTTTATTTTTATGGTGAAGGGAGATACTAGTGTACTTGAAGAAGAAGCTTTTTTCTCTAAAGAAGGAACTCTAATGACTAGTTGGGAAGGGAACAAACTGTTGGTATTCGTTTGAATCTAAGCAACAAAGTTTTGGTGGAGGACTTCAAATCATATGCTATTTGTAACCAAAATTATGGGAAATGACATTAAAAATATTTTCTGACCTACAGTGTAATTTTAAGTCCCAATCTTGTTTGTTATATATCTTTAATTTGGATGGAATTATTTAAATTATTAATTCTCTGCCCAATTTTTTTATATATTAAATTACTGCAAATAAAATTTTCTTGTTCTTTGGTCAGCAAGCAGCGTTTTCAGTATTAGGAAACTAATCAAATGCAATTCGACCTGGAAAAAAAATATTGAATTAGAAACATTTTATTTTTTCTTTGTGAAAATGTTGAGAACTTTCTCTTTAATGTACTTTCCCAAATCTTATCTGGCAGGAGATTATATATATTTGAATAAAGATGAACATTCAAAGATTTTTTTAAACCACATACTGTAATTTCACCAGTGGACTAAACAGAGTCTATTGGAGAAAACTTACCCTGGGGCTTTAGATCTTGCATCCCATCTTAACAAGAGACTAAACAGTGAAAACCACTCCTTTGTTAATCATTGGGCAGAAAGGAGGATAAATGATAAACAGTGACAAAGTATAATTGTGTCTGTTTCTTGGACATCAATTGATACCATGCCAGCCAAACTGAGGCATTTTAAAATGACATGCTTGTCGACATCAAAGAGTCTAGGCAAAGGTTAAATATCTATGTGATAGGGATATCTTTAGCTTTGTATTGGCCACTGAAACTTCCCTTTAGTTACCAGAAGAGGAAACATTGCTGACTTACTCACTTAGTTAACATGGCAGATAGGTACATACAAATAGCATGTATAATAAAAATCCATACCATTAGTGGTTTTACTTACATGTTTCTCACAAATGCTAATACTCTATTTTAAATGTCTAGGCAATTGATTTTTTTATAGATAACTTCTTGACTAGTTATCAAAGTCCTGTCAGCCAATATGTGACTATAGAAGAGCAAGGATGGCTAAAGAAAATAATAAAGCATTAAATTACATGAACTCATTGGAAATGTGTAAGAAACCATTATGTTATTATAGTTCATCATTAGCCAGATTTGGTCATTGGATATCAGATTTCCTTCTTATCTAGTCTTTGATTATATTAGATCTTTTCTTTCAGAAATTTTATTTTGAGGATTCATAATTTCACATCTTCATAAGAAAATAAGGAACTTTATTCTGATCTATTCTGACTTATAATTTGGAACTAATTCCTCTAAAAATGAGACAATCCATAAATCGTAGTAGAAAGACAACTTTCATCTTTTAAAAAATAGAATGTTGCAAAAGTAGCTAATGAGATATTAGTAGGTATAAAAAATATTTTTTTTCCTAAAAATCAGCAATCACACTGCTTGAAAACAGATTATGATATAACTTTATGTGGAAATCCTGGAGATATCAGAACATGCACAACATTTAATTAAAATATTTTATTGACGTGTTAAATGTATACATACATACAAGCGAGTGATTCATAAGTATACTGCTCAATAATAAACACAAAGTGAACACACTAGTATAACCCCCACTCAGATCAAAATGCAGAGTATCACTAGCACCTTTGAAGTATCTGTCTTCCCGTCTAGGACTATTTCTCCAGGAAACCACTCTCTTGATTTTTTTTATTTTTTAAATTTTTTAAAAAAATTTAAATTTTTATTATTTTTATTTTTTATTTTATTTTATTTTTTTTGAGACAGAGTCTCGCTCTGTCACCTAGGCTGGAGTGCAGTGGTGTGATCTTGGCTCACTGCAACCTCCGTCTCCTGGGCTCAAGCGATTCTCCTGCCTCAGCCTCCCTAATAGCTAGGATTACAGGTGCCCACCATTACTCCTAAGTAATTTTTGGAATTTTTAATAGAGACTGACTGTGTTGGCCAGGCTGGTCTTGAACTCCTGACCTCAAGTGAATCTGCCTGCCTCAGCCTCCTAAAGTGCTGGGATTACAGGTGTGAGCCACTGTGCCTGGCCCACTCTCTTGATTTCTAATACCATGTATAAGTCCATCTTCATAATTAAGTAAACAATGTCATACATTATCCATCATTTTCTCTTTTATTTCTTTCATTCAACGGTGTATTTGTCAGGACTGGCGTGGTGGCACACGCCTGTAATCCCAGCACTTTGGGAGGCTGACGTGAGTGGATCACCTGAGGTTAGGAGTTCAAGACCAGCTCATGAAACCCTGTCTCTACTAAATACAAAAAATTAACCAGGTGTGGTGGCGCATGCCTGTAATCCCAGTTACTTGGGAGGCTGAGACAGGAGAATCATGTGAACTCGGGAGGCCTAGGTTGCAGTCAGCCAAGATTGCACCATTGCACTCCAGCCTGGGCAACAAGAGTGAAACCCCATCTCAAAACAAACAACAAACAAATGAACAAACAAACAGTGTATTTGTGGGTTTCATTCCTATTAGTGCATGTAGCTTTAATCTACTCATTTTAATACACTTTTAAAATTTTATAACAGTTTTATGTTTATGGAGAGTTATAAAGATAGTACAGAGATTTCTTATATACACAGTACCTAGTTCCCTCATTATCATCCTACATTATGATATATTTGTCACTATTAGTGAACCAATATTTTCCCATTATTAACTACAACCTATCATTATTCTTATTTCCATAGTTTTATCTAATGTCCCTTTTCTGTTCTAGGACCCCATCCAAAGTTTCATATTATGTTCAGTCATCATGTATTCCTAGGCTTCTCCTGTCTGTGACAGTTTCTCAGACTTTCCTTGTTTTTGATGATCTTGACATTTTTGCAGAGTAATGGTCAGGTATTTTGTTGAATACTACTCTATAGGGAATTGTCTGATGTTTTTCTCATGCTGAGATTGGGGTTATGGATTTTTGGGAGGAAGACCACAGAAGAAAATTTTCATTCTCATCACATCATACCAAGTGTACATACTCTCAAAATGACCTATCACTGTTGATATTAATTTTGATCACCTGGCTGAGGTAGCATTTGCCAGGTTTCTACACTGTGAAGTTTTTCTTCCCCTCCCCTCCTTTCAATACAGTACTCTTTGGAGAGAAGTCAGTAGGTACAGTCAATATTTAAGGAGTAGGGAGTTATCCACCTCCTTGAGGGTAAAATATCTTCATAAATTTTTTGGAATTCTTCTGTATGAGAACTTTGTCTATTCTCCCTCATTTATTGAATTGATTCAATTATTCATGTCAGCATGAAGCCAATAATATTTGTTTTATACTTTGAATTATAATCCAGTGCTACTTTATTTTTTACTGAAATTGTTCCATCTTTGGTACATTAAAGGCCTTTTCAATTGGCTTCTATGCCCCTTTGACATATCACCATTGATGTGTGTGTGTGTGTGTGTGTGTGTATGTGTTTGAGAACTTCTTTATTTTTGGCACTACAAGATGCTTCAGGCTCATCGTGTATATTTCTTGCCTTAATCTTAGAATCAGCCATTTCTCCTGGGAGCCCTGGTTTATTTTATTGGAGAATGGCATTAGATCTGGGTGTTGGGTGTGCCCATTGCTATTGGGGTATCTTTGCTTTTAGACCTCGTTAATTGATAGATTAAGGAATATATGTGTGCGTGTGAACCGTGTATAAGCAAAAAACCATAAGTATGCCTATATGTAATGATCTTTATGTATATGAAGCTAAACATGGGTTCATACTGATTTCTCCAACTCTAATCCATTACAACATGGGTCATTCTAACCTTCTCATCTTGCTTGTCTACAACCTTCTACTCCGAAAGTAAGAAACCTGGCTTCCACCATTCATCATTCAATTCCTTAATTGTTCAATTCCTGTATGCCTATGTAGTGGTTTGAGAAATATTAACCCATATCCTCAATTGGAAACAATTTCTTCAAGTAGAGCATGGTGCTTACATGCATTGTAGATAGTGGCTACCACTTACACCAAGATTCTAACAGCATTTTTACTTTCTATACATCAAAAAGCTTTGTAAATAAAATCTTAACATTTTGGGTTTTTTAAAAATGCTTTTCTTTTCAATGAATTTTTTTTAATGTTAGGACATTTTATGGAGTAAGTGCCAAAAAAGTATTTTTAAGAATTTAAGTGAAATAAACATGCTATTCTTTGGCTTTAAATAAATAAATAAGAGTCATATAGACTCCACTTACTTTCCCCAGCACCATGTCATTGGTTGTTTCATATATTTCTAATGTAATTAGATTCTTTTATCACAGTTTGTATTCCATCATGGGTTACTCTGACATCCTAAATGATTTTTTTTTTAAATTGGCATGGATTAAGGTTCAATTTTTTTTTGGGTTGTAAATTCTGTGGATTTTGACAAATACACAGTGTCAAGTATCCACCATTATAGTGTCATACATAATAGTTATACCACTGTAAAAACAACCCGTGTGCTTCACCTATTCAATCTTCCCACTGACTCACCTCCCCACACTGAGCCCTGGAAACCAATGATCTGAGTATACTCTGCATAGTTTTGCTTTTCCCACATTTCATATTAATGGCAAAATAGAGTATACTGCCTTTTAAGAGTGGTTTCTTTCCTGTACCTATATGCATTTGTGATTCACCCATGTCTTTGCCTGACTTGCTAGCTCGTTCTTCTTGATGAGTAGCATACCATTGTATAAGCATGCCACAGTTTATTCATCTCCAAGGTTGATTTTTAACTTTGTCCTACCCACCAACATTTATGGAGTGGCTATTCTAAGCCCAGTGTTGTTTTAGTTATTACAGGGAACACAGAAGAAGAATAAAGACTCTACTCTCAAGGTAAATATAATCTTATTAAAAAACAAGGATTACTATAGGAAAAAAATTAAATATGTGAGGCAATAGGTGAAAAATAGTCAGATGAGGTACATTCACTAATGTAACAAATGCCAGTAGAAAGAGAGAAAATACTATGACCTGGAATGCTCTGGGAAGAATTAATACAGAAAAATTACCTTAAAAATAAGTGTATAGAAATTCACCTTAAAACAAATTGAGATACCACTATGTACCCACTAGAATGGCTAATATTAAAAAAGAAGACTGATAACACCAAATATTGGCAAGGATTTAGAGCAACTGGAACTTTTATATGTTGTTAGTAGGAATGTAAAATGGTAAAACACTTTGGAAAATATATCTGGCAGTTTCTTATAAAACATATACTTATAAAATATGTAGTTATCTTTTGAGCTAGCAGTTCTACCCTTATGTATTTGCCAAAGAGAGATGAAAAAATGTATCCACTGAAACCCCTGTATAAAATGTTCATAAAGCTTTATTCATAATAGCACCAAACTCTAAACTGCCCAGTTGTTCATCAATAGGAGAAAATATGAAAAAAACTGTAGTATATTCATACAATGGACAATTATTTAGCACTAAAATGGAAGCACTACTGATATATGCAGTAATATAGATGAATATCAAAATTGTTAGTTTGAATACTTACAAAATATAACACATACAGTATATTTCATTTACATGAAGTTCTAAAAGAGGTGAAGCTAACATTCAGTGGAAGAAATTTGAATGATGGTTGCTTTGAGCCTAGGGATAGTGAATCACTGGAAACAGACATAAGGGAACTGCCTGAGGTTACAGTAATGTTCTTTATCATTATAAAAATTTAGTTTCACAAATGTATGCATTTGTCAAATGGTACACTTAAAATTTGTGCATTTCATTTTATATAAATTTAACTTCAAAAAAAGTACTGTAAAAATATTAAACTCTGGGATAAATGCAAAAGTATTTTGGTGGGAGTGTACTGATGCTTGAAACTTTGCAAAGCATTAAAGTAATATGCATTGATAGATGGATAGAAGTATAAACAGATGCATGAACATGTGATAAAACAAGTATATCAAGTTTTAATCAGAGAATCTAGTGATGCATATATGAATATTTGCTGCAAAATTTTTTGAAATTTACTCTATGTTTTAAAATTTACATTAAAAACGTTCGGAAAAAATCAAGAATCTAACCAGCTTTGTACTACCTCCTCTGCTACCCCTGGGCTATGCCACAGTCATCTCTTTCCTGGAATGCTGCATTGATTTTGCCGCTTGTGTCCCTACTTCTGCCCCTGCCCTTCTGCAATCCAGTCTCATCACAGCAGCCAGATTCTTTTGGGAATGTGAGATGATGTTAAACCAACTCCTAACAATGATCTACAAAGGCCTGTGTGGTCTTCTCTTCCTGTCAACTCCCTGATCTCCTCTTCTCATACTTTTCCACAATACAGCTCCTCTAACCAAACCTTCCGTAATGTTCCTCCAGCAGGCTAGACATGCTCTCACCTTGGAACTGTTTCTGCTTGAGATGCTCTTTGTTCACATATCTTCATTTAGATTCTTCAATTCTTTGCCCATATCTTGCCTTCTCAATGAGGTTTACTCTGATCACTCTATTCAATAAAACAAACTGTAACCTGATCACAGTATTTCCAATTCCCTTTATTCTGTTCATTGTTTTATTTTTTCCATGGCACTTATAACTTTCTAGCATATGATGTAATTTATTATTATAATATTATTCCTCTGTTAGAATGTAAAGTATACTACAGTGGCATCTTTATCTCACTGACGTAGGTAGCCAAGTACCTAGAAGAGTGTCTGATACGTAGCAGACTCTAAATAATATTTGTTTAAAAATGTAGTAATGAATAAAGTTGGACTTGAAAGACAGAAAATCTTTTTCTATTTTTTGGAAAGGAGAACTACTTTTCTTAAAGCAACAAATGTTTATTGCAGAAAAATTATATCAAGGAAGGCAAAAACAAAGCAAAACAAAAACTTCATAAGCAAACCAAGCAGCTGCTATCTTTGCTGATAACTTGATGTATATTTGTTTCCTGTAATCCCAGCATCTTGGGAGGCTCAGGCAGGAGGATCATTTGAGGTCAGGAGTTTGAGGTCAGCCTGGGCAACATAGGGAGACCCTGTTGCTACAAAAAATGTAATAAATAAATAATAAATAAAATAAAATGTGATGTTTATTATACATACAAATTGTTGATAGCATATATTTTTGCAGAACTATTTCTATATGAATATATGTATTAAAATTATATTACTTGCTTTTTTCTTAATACCATGCTTTATTTAGCATATTTCTGCAATAATAAACTTAAGCAGCATCATTTTAACGAGTTTGTTACCTTATCTTCTGTTGGTCATTTAGATATTTCCAGTTTTGCAGTACTCAAAATATTTTGATGAGCATCCATATAGCTTAATCTTTGGACACATCTTTAATACTTTTTTAAGATAAATTCCAGAAAATGGAGTCACTCTATCTGAGGATAAACATTCTAAGGCTCTTAATAGGTATTATCAAATTTTCTCCTCATAAGGTCTATAAAAGCTTATGCTTACCAGTTTACCAGTAGTGTAGGGGCTTTCCCTTTCCATGGAAAGACAGTAGGATTTGGATATGTGAAGAAATAAAGGAGGGTATCCTACTGACATGAGTATCACATGCAAAAGCCAGTAGACAGGAAAGGCCGTGCCATGCTCTGGGAACAAGAATCTCTGCCTGGCCCACAGGGCACCTTCACCATGGGAGACTATCCAAGTCAGCTAGGGCTGCCAGAACAAAATACCACAGACTGGGTGGCTGAAAAAACAGAGATTGATTGTTTCACAGTTCGAAGACTAGAAGTCCATGATCATAGTGTCATTAGGTTTGGTTCCTCTTGGGGCATCTCTCCTTGGCTCGCAGATGACGGCTTCTTCCTGTGTCTTCACATGGCCCTTCCTCCGTATGTGCACATCCTGGTGTCTTTTGTTCTTATGTCTAGCAATACTAGACATACTGAATTAGGGCCTCAACCATTTGGCCTTATTATAACTTAATAACCTTTATGAAGACCTATGACAATTCAACCCATAACAGAGAACCTGGGAGAAAGCATCCAGAGGGTCTCAAAAGCTTCTCTTCAGTCCAGAACTGAGCTGATTCATAAATGGGGAGTTTTGACCAATATTTTGATGTATCCGGATCAGTTGGATCTGAGTGCAGCCCATTGAGCACATTTCCAGTTTTGCCTCACCAACCTTTAATTACAGCCTCTAATACTTAGTTCTTACTGTAATTCAGTAGGAAAAAAATACAGCTTTAGCAGAAGCCTGCCAAAACCAACATATCTGAAATTGGGCCCCCTGAAAAATAAGTACTATTAAGAGCAGCATTGTTCCTTTAGGAAAATGGGGAACAGCTTTGCACACAGTTGGTCCGTTTGAGGCTGGGTTACCACCCAGAGAAATTTCTATGACACGTTCATGTTCCTTAGGTTCTTCTTTTTCTCCTTTTTTGACGTTTTTTGGGCAGATATTTCTCTAATCAGAAGACATTCAAGTCTGGGAGGATAAAAATCTCTCTTGACAATCTTGAGAAAAAGAAAAAGTCAATTGGTTCCTTCAGGAAGTGAAAGGATTTATTTGGGGCCTTGGAGAAGGAGAATTATGAAAATTATTCATGATTTTTATACCTTCACGAGTCTCATTGTTTTATGGCCAGAGTCCATAAAACAATGAGACTCATGACATCTTTTTGGATGTTCTCAGATTCAATTTCTATTCTATGCCTTTGTATCCTGCCTTAAGCCAGGTATGTGGGAGTTGCAATATCTTATACTTCAACTGATTAAATATTAACTTGATGCTTTATGCAATGCATCTCAGAATTGCCCATCCTCAGAGAAGAAAAAAATATTTATACATTGGTCCTTCTCTTTTATTGGTCATAAAGGTGCTCCATGGACTTTCGAGCTGCAAACAGGTGTCAAAGGTTCTCAAGGCACCAGTGAAACCCTAGAGAAACAAGCAAGATGCATCTGGTCAGGTGCTGTCAGGTTAGATCTAAGTAAAAGGAGTCAAAGCAGATATATAATTGATCATCACAGGAGCAGGTGGGATAAGAATGTTGATCCCAAGAACATTTGAAGTAATGCACAGGAGTCCAATAAAACAGGTTAATTATTGAAAGCAAAATAATTATTAGATAGTAAATTATATGAGAAAAATGCAAAACACTGTGATAAAAGTTATCTTTGACTACTCCATTACCGTCAATAATATTTAACGTTTCTTTTGCTTACAACCCACCAGAAAACATATTTCAGCCCCAGGGTGCATGCTGTGAATGGGGTGCTTGAGCATATGTTTCCCTAGAAAATTCAACTTGTTTCCCATTGAAGCCATGGACTCCAATATGAGTTTGAGTACTTTTAGAATATGCACTCCCCACCCCCTAAGCACCCCTCCCTGCCAAATCTGATTAACATTTCCCAGATGGGAAGTGTGCCTGGAGTATTTGCAGGTTAAAAATGAGTTTTTTTAGGTTAAATGAACTTTATGTTATTGGAGCAACTTTTAAATTCAGCAAGTGACAAGGAATTAGCCAAGTGATAGTGTTCTTAAAATAGCCCAATTATAATGAAAAATGTAAAGCACTTTTTATTAGAGGATAAAAGTGTAAACAGTTCATTTCCTGAAAGGCAAGCGAATATTATAACAAATTTTATTGAATGTTTAAGTTCAAGTTTCAGTTATTGTCATGTTGGTGTATTTAATGCCTAACTGTTAATTATGAAATTATTGCAAGTTAGGAAAATATTAAATACTTCCTTACTTCACACAATACTATCTCCATACTTCCAACATCACTTGCTGAACTTTTTTCAACTTTCTAAGATAATTTTTCTAAGATAATTTTTAGCCCACTTTTAATATAGACTTTTCCCCCAAGAACCAGAAAGAACTGAACTTCTTCCCTAAGCTGGTTGTGGTGTTAGAGCAAATGAAAACCAGTTTTCAGTGTTTATATGGTCAGCTTCTCTCATTTACTCCCATAACCCTTAAGCATTAACCAGAAGTCTTGAAATATACTTGTCCCAGTTTTCAGCAGTATTAATTTTATAGAAGATGGAAGAATATCTGTACTTTTCCAATACTCTTGGAAATACTCTTCTGAACGTTTGTTTCCTCGAAGGTGGGTTGTAGATTAATATCTAACTATCTATCAATCATGAAAAGATAGTGAATTTTAAACCAAAATCATTTAGACCTGATTAAATTAAGAATGTATGTTTGGAAAAGTATGGAATTAAAACTAGAACAATTTAATTAATTTATTGTCTAATATAATGTAAATAATTTTTAATTAGTAACTAAAAGATTCTTGCATCTTATTATTTATAAAACTTGTTCAACATTAGAAACTGGACATCTAAGCTTCTTGTAAATGTTAATATACTCAAAGACCTTTGCTATGTTCACTTCTCATTTGAGTTTATAGGAAAGATTATTATTAAAACTAATATTTTTCTTGGAAAATGAGTACCGTTATTGCCATTTGATAACTGGTTTCTACACACTGCATTATCAGTATAATTTCTCATAACACTCTTCAGCATATCACAGCTTTGAATCAAGCTTGGAGAACACTGGTGTAATATCAGTTTCAAATTAACAAATTATGTGATGGAGCAAAGTTTCAAAGAGACCTATTAGAATTTAAAAGTAATTTATTTTTTAAAAGTTCTTTAGGAATGCTAGATTTTCAAAAAAAATTGTGTGTATTGTTTTAAGGCACAAATATTTTTATAACTGTTCTTGAGGCATGAGTTTAAAATATGTAAAGAGAAACTAGATGAGATTTATTTTGTAAATTTATGGTCTAAGGAATAATTTTTAAAAATACGTTTTTCTAGAGTAAAATTTGTAAGCTCGGCATGGTGGCACATGCCTGTCGTCCTAGCTACTGAGAGGCTGAGGCAAAAGGATTGCTTAAACCCAGATGTTCCAGTCCAGACTAGACAACATAGCAAGACCTTGTCTTAAAAAAAAAAATTACATAAAAGAAGCTACAAGAAAAGGTTTTTTATTTCTTCTTGACCCTATACACTTTGGCTTGCTTACCAGAACTTTGCTAAGCATTTTAAAAACTGTTAAGAATTTTTGAGGGAAGGAGTAATGGGGATGAGATTTATCCTCCTGGATTAAACAACTGAAAAGACCCAGACAAAATCTGTGAAAAAAGTGGATTTAGATGGTGGAAAGCAAGCAACTCCGGAGAGTGAGCCCTCAGATAAGCTGTCCTCAGTTTCTCACTGCATTAGAAGCGCAGCAATCCAAGGAGGAGAAACCCCCCAAATTTCAGTGTTTTCTGTAAGTTGAGGAGACAGAGTTTAAAATGCATACAGTGGCTAGACTTTGGGCAGTGTACTGGAGAGAAGAGAGCTGCACAGAGAAAGATTGAAATCTGGAGTGAAGTTTTGAGCTGAATATTGTTCATGCTTCACATGCATGTGAGGAAATTACACGAGGCGTGGAAAAGACCCACCAGAAGGGATCAGGCAGAGCCCACACGTGGCTGGGAATCAAAACCAGAGAAAGACATTATAAGTTTAAAAAATTATAGGGTAATATCCTTCATAAACCTAGATGCAAAATATTAAATTCCACAATATATAAAAAGAATAATAGATAATGACCAAGTAGGGTTTATCCCAGAAATACAAGGCTGGGTTAACATTTATAAATCAATCAATGCAATTCACTATACTAAAAGAATAAAAGAGAAAAATCATAAGATCATTTCAATTGATGCAGGAGACTCTTTTGAGAGAATTTAATATTCTCTCAGATAATATTTCTCAGTAAACTAGGAATAGGAGGGAATTTCCTCAATCTGATAAACAGGATCTACAATAGTTATACATGATCAGATTAAAACCTGTCTGTCACTATTTGGAACAAGGCAAGAAAGTGTGTTTTCACCATTTCCATTCACCATTATAGTGAAGGTCCTTGCTGGTGCTGTAAGACAATTAAAAGAAATAGAAGGCATTCAGATGCAGAGTATCAACATTCTTAAAGAAATGAGCATAAGGATAGCAAGTACTTTTGTTTAATGAAACCCTAATTTGTTTCTAGTGGAAGATGAATGCAGTTTTCCTTTTTATTTTTGCATGTTTAAATTTCCTCTTCCTCATTAGATAAAATAAAGAGATAAATGAACTTCATAGTGGTACTTTGCCAAATCAACCTTTTTTTTCCTTCTACCAGTGAATGCTTTTGAAAGGCTGATGTCAAATAATAGCTATGTTATACAGCCTGTTTCATAAAGCCTGTTAATATTGATCAAATAAGTATTTTCATATTCTTATATGGCAGTTAGCCTACCAATTTTTTGGCTAGCTCTATAATATCTAGTATATTCTTATAGACATAATAACTGCCAGGAAAATGTTTGGCCAGACCTCATTCAAGTAAGGGAAAGGATATTCATGATTATGTGACATGTATATTTAGAATATAATATTTCAAGTTAGATTTGGCAAGAAAACAGTCATGCACTAAAACATGTGAGATATCTTGAATCCTTTTGGAAAAACCCTCAAAGGAAAATAATTTAAGAGCTACTAACATTTCTCTTAGCTCTGACTTCTCAATAAACTTTTGGTACAACATTTGCATTTTACTTGACTGGCTTCCTTTCTACATGAACTTTCATTAAACATTCTTCGCTTTCCAAGTGTTCTTTGTCATTAAAAAAAACTGGGTGATTTACATTTTCAGATGAATTTATATACACTGAACAAAGATTATTTTATATATTATGATGTTGGGGACATTTCTCCCAATTATGTAAAAATAGTATGAGACACATGATGGATAGCAATGTTCATGGAGATGCATGTATAATTAGAACCTCATAATAAATACCATTTCTTGTGTTTGTTGACTACAATTAGCAACTTAAGCCATCAATTGTACTGCAGCTCTGCTCTACAATCTTCTTCAAGCTACATACATACAGCCAAAATTGAAAAGTGACTTTGCAATCTGACACATCACTTACTGCTTGGGATAACATCTCCCTAGTCAAATTCAAAGTAATTCTTTGTATAGTATACTGGGGCTACAAAATAAAAATAAAAATCCAGCTGGTTTGATTTCAGTTGTTTTGACTCCCTCTCACTATATCAAAACCAATTCCAGTTGGTCTTAGTTAATAAAAATGGTACCAAAATTTATGGAAATTAGGATTGAATATAGGATCATTAAAGTGTTGGTGACTGTTGCAAACATTAGAGATTGTAAACTTGGTAGGCAGTGTTCAAAAAAGCCTTCTGGTATGGAGATTGAAAGAGAAAGAGATCAAGCCCATTTATCTCTTCTCTGTATTGTATGTTTCTGGAGACAGAGCTTTAGTTCCAGTAACATTACTCAAGAATATGCCTGGGGCGTCTATTCTTCTGTGAGTCTCTGCCAAAACAGCTTGGGAAACAGCTGGTGATAATTCTGGCTTCTTTCCCCCGCTCAACAACTGATGTTCAGGAGCAGGAAGGCAATCGGGTGGGTGTGTTCTGAGCCATGCCATCGCTGCTTCCCCTCAGCTGCTCCTACTCCCACGCAAAAAGGAGCGGACTGGAAGGCTGACTTCCCAGAAGTGGCCTCAAAGGGAGGACAGTCAGTCCTATAGCTTTAGGTACTGGGGGGAAAAAATGAATGGTTTTGCCATGTAAAAGTCCAGGGGCAGGATTAGAAAAGACCACGTCCTTCTAATATCTGAAGAGGAACCTTTATTTAAGATACACTGTTAAGCATTCTAGTCTTTTAAAATGAAACAATGGGATAAGTATGGAAATTGCTGATTTACCACCTACAGATAAATTCTCTCAATTAACAGAGTTTTTATTAATTATTTTAAATGAGTTACCCTTTTCTTAATCCTGGGCCCTGCTTACCAAGAAGTTCAAAGGTAGTGGTGGTTTTAGATAAAGATATTGTTGCCTATTTTCCCTTTTAATAGTCTAATGAGGAGGAGGTTTTGCCTCTCCAACTGGAATTTTTGAGACATGAATTCTAGTCTCAGCTTTACCAATATCTAATGTGACTGTGAACAAATAACTTATATTTTCAGTTTCATTTTATTTCTGCAACATGAGAGAATCAGGTTAAAATAGATTCCATGTGCAGTCCCTTGAGCTGACATCAGTACACTGTAATCATAATGCTGAATCAGTGTAGGATGACTTTAATCCCTCTTTTACTTGATAGCCTTTCCCACATTTGAAGACTGCACCTGTGCTCATCCTATATATTTCCCCTTTTAAGCCCATATTCTCTCTTCTTTTTTCTCATGACTCAGTTTCTAGTTAAATTAGCCTGAACATGCTCAAGTATATCTAATTGCTTCTTGAACCATGGCTACAAGAATTATATATGATGTCGCAGATGTGGTCCAGTCAATTCAGAGTAGCATTAATTTTTTTGCCGTTCCATAATTGTCTTGATTTTTGTTAAGCTTGAAGTCAACCCAAATTACCAAATCATTTTAACCCATGTTACCTTTCAACACTGTTTCTTCTAAGCTCACTTTTTACTTTTATATTGGAGCTCTTTTTGGATTTAAGCAGATATTTTTATCTTGTTTACATACCGTATGTCCATTTTAAGAGCACAAATTTTGGGTTAAGAGCACAAATTTTGACTGTAGGACCTGTGATTAAATCCTGACTCTGATATTTCTGGCTTTGGGACATCATCAGTATAATAAAGTCAATTATAGGATCTTAAAGTCTTGATTCTCTCATCTATAAAGTAAGGGCAATACTAAATCGCTTAATATTATTGTGTGAGCTATTTATAGAATTGATATATGCCCAGTCATTGATAGGACATCTGGAATGGAGTGAGTGTTCAATGAAGAGTAGTTACTGTTAGTGCCCTAACTCTGTCTTTGACTGTATTGCTATCCCACTAAAGAGATAAAGAAGTTGTCCATTTTTTGTCTAGGGCCATGATAAAATATTTTAACAGAAAAGGTTTGAGGTGTGAATCTCAAGTATAAAACTACTGATCTCTAGTCAAGTGTGACTTTTTTTTTGTATTTTTTATTCAACATTCCTTGGACCATATTATTCAACTATATAAACATTCATGTAATATTGTTTTCTGGACCTCATATCTACATCCTGTTCACAATAAAAATGTAAAATAATTGGGTTTATTCTGACCTAATTCATTCCTCCTGATGTTATTCTGGTTTCTGATGATTACGACTTTCCTTTCTAAGACCTTGCAGTCTCATAATAATTTGTTCTCAAATCTTTTCCAAATCGATATCAAGTTTACTGACACTGTACACTGCACCATTCTCTTTATTCCCCCATTTCTTGTCACCTGCACTGACACCATTGTTCCTGAAAGACTGACTATTGCTGGTGATCAAATGATTTCTTCCTATTTTCTTCCCACTGTTTTCTCATTCAGTTGGGTAGTTATTGATCAGGTCAGGACATCTGCTGGTGAGAGAATTTAAATGGTCCTTTCCATATGGTCACTGGTTTGGGTTTCAAATTTCTCTTTTTTTTTTTTTTTTAAATTGAGATAGAGTCTTACTCTGTCGCCAGGCTAGAGTGCCGTGGCACGATCTCGGCTCATTGCCACCTCTGCCTCCCAGGTTCAAGTGATTCTCCTGCCTCAGCCTTCCAAGTAGCGGGGACTGCAGGTGCGTGCCACCACGCCTAGCTAATTTTTGTATTTTTAGTAGAGACAGGGTTTCACCATGTTGACCAGGATGGTCTCGAGCTCCTGACCTCGTGATCGACTGCCTCAGCCTCCCAAAGTGCTGGGATCACAGGCGTGAGCAACCGCACCTGGCCTTAACTTTTGTTTATTAACAATATACTGTTTGGTAATATTTCTCTTAATACTTACTTCCTTTTCATTCTGTTCAGAATAATTTGTCTTGAGAAGCTTGGGAGCTTCCTGAGTAGAGCATTGTGGATTTATTAGGATTCCTTTAGATGCCAGTTATAGAAAATCGAATCCAGGGAAACTTATTGGGAAACAACTGAACAGTCTAGGGACAATATGGCTCAGACATTGTTGTAGACAAGGATTTAAACACTGTTTCTGGACC
Organism: Homo sapiens; assembly: GCF_000001405.40. Lineage (NCBI taxonomy): Eukaryota > Metazoa > Chordata > Mammalia > Primates > Hominidae > Homo > Homo sapiens. The sequence goes on from NC_000002.12 coordinate 198,502,337, forward strand.
CAGCCCTTCTTTTCCTATATGGACCCTTGTTTTCCGTTTAACATGGCTTCATTTGCAGATATTTGCCCTCTTGTGTATCAGTGTTTGTGGCAGCTCCAGCATCTCAAGTCCAGTGGGAAGGAACATGGGGCTTTCTGGCAATCTGAGCAAAAATTTCCTGATATTTCATAGGCTCTGCTGGTTTCTCATGCTCCTCCCTGAACCAATCCCTGTAACCAGGGAAATTTACCTGCTGTTTGCCATTCTTGAGTTTTTACTAAATTCTGAGACAAGTGATGGGGTTCAGGATATGCTACGCCAAAATATGGCACCTTAGCAATTGAAAAAATAATGAAAGCAACAAAGTACTCTAACCTTTCCCTTGCCCCTTCTCCCCTGAGTAGTCATAAAACATAGTTGGCCTTTCCCTGATGGAGGTCCTAAGACCCTTATTTCAGACGTGCCCTCTGTAGAACCAGAGGAAAGGAATGTCCTTATCTCTGAAGGACAGAGGGACACAGAGAAGAAGCTGAAAAACCAAGCCTTGCTAAGTTCATCTCAGCTTATTACCATTAGATTATACTCTTTTGTCCAATCATACTTTTGCATGACTGTCTACTCTTTATTTAACCTAAGCAAAACAAATAGTTTTCCTTGTATCTTTGAGTCATTTTTTTTAAAGTTCCCATGGTATGTAAAACATATATTAAATAAATACATGTGATTTTCTCTTGTTAATCTATCTTTTATTGTAGGTGTCTCTGCCATGAACCTTGTGATGATTAAGGAAAAGTTATTACTGTTTCTTCACTGCAAAGGAAAGAACCTAGCTCCACTAGAAGTCTAAATGGGGACCAATCTCCACTATAATATTAGGTCTCTAAATAGATGTAGTCCACCAGAGAAGGCAATGCATAATTGTGATCAAACCTTTAGAACAAACCCTTTTTTCCTAATTGTACTCTCTCTCACATGCATTCGCATATGCGTGTGCCCATATGAGTGCACCCATGCACGCAGGCACACTTACACACACACACGTGAGGGTGCTAGACACTCATTAGTTTATTTTACTCTTCTGAATTCTCATGATCTGTTTAACCTTTTCTTAATAACTAGGCTTTTGCAAACAAAAAATGTTTTTGTTCTAACTTTATAGTGATATTTGTATTTAAGTATAAAAGCTTCCCAAACTGTACTAAAATGGCAGTAATGTAATGAACACACAAAGGCAAGAACAGGACAGGAAGGAAACAACTGAAAACTTAAGTAAACTGAATTTTGGAAGATAAAATTTTTATGAACAAGCAAAATGGAGAAAGGAAATACTTCACACTCTGTACTGAGAGAAGCCAATAATGAATAAGGAAATTTGCATTGGAGAATTCCAGAGAGGATCAGTAAGTGAAGGAGATGCTGGAGCTCCACACACATCTGAAAGCAACAATGTGAAGTTGGGTTGAAAACAGGATAGTTCATTTACAGTCTGTTAGGAGCACTTAGAACATGCATATTTATTATCTTCTCTCTGCAGAAGACAGATTCAAGGTGTATTCTATGGAGAGGTAGACTCTGATCTTAGAAGTCCCAAAAACAGTAAAGTGAGGTGTTGAGTTGAAAATAAAAAGATGAATTCTTCACATTTAATTATGACTTTCATCCTCCTTTTCCAACTTGACTTTAGAATGATGGTAGCCAAGTTTGTAGCACCAGGCAAGGGACTGATATAACACTGGGGAAACTGACCAGTACAAGAAAAAAGTGCGAACCAGGTTCACTTTGCACTGGTTGCCACTTCATTTCTGTATCTTGGACTGTACTTTTATTGCTTGCACAAGTACAGTTAGACACAATATTCATACACACAGGTTCCATGAAGTGGGTTTATTACTTATAGATAGGCAGCATGAGGCAACAGAAGCCTAGGATTTATGATTAGTCAGTCCCCCAATGCTCAGAAAAGCTGCCTAGGTTAGAGGGAGTCTCATTTGCACATGCTCCACTTGCAATGAAAGGGAAAGAGCCCAGAAAGCAGCCTATCCTGAATTTTATAATCTGGAGGCAATGATACAGTGGGGGTAAAGCATTGAAGGATATTCTGTTCCGGAGTGGACAGGAATAGAGCCCAGCCTGTTCCAAACAGTTCCTCCTTAAGATATTGCATTCCCAGCATGTTCTACAGTTATTCTGAGAACTACAGAATGAAAATGGAACCCTATTTCTCACCATATACAAAAATTAACTCAAGATCTCAAGATGGATTAAAGACTTAAATGTAAGACCTGAAACTATAAAAATTCAGGGAGAAAACCTAGGAAAAACTCTTCTGGACATTGGCCTAGGCAAAGGTTTATGACAAATACCGCAAAAGCAAATGCAACAGAAACAAAAATAATAAAATGGGACTTAAAAAAGCTTCTGCATAGCAAAAGAAATCATCAGCAGAGTGAGAAGACAACCTACAAATGGGAGACAATGTTTGCAAATTATGCCTCTGACAAAGGACCAATGTCTAGAATCTACAAGAAACTAAAACAATTCAACAACAAAAAATACACATCAACCCCATTAAAAACTGGGCAAAGGACATGAACAAATATTTCTTAAAAGAAAAAATACAAGCAACCGAGCAACCAACAAACACATAAAAAATGCTCAACATCGCTAAGCATCAGGGAAATGCAAATTAAAACCACAGTGAGACATCATCTTACACCAGTCAGAATGGCTATTACTAAAACGTCAAAAAATAACAGATCCACATGGATGCAGAGAAAAGGGAATGTATATTCACTGTTGGTAGGAATGTAAATTAGTTCTACCTCAATGGACAACATTACGGTGATTTCCCAAAGAACAAAAGATATAACTACCATTCAACTCAGCACAGCCATTGCTGGATATCTAACCAAAAGAAACAAAGTCACTATATAAATAAGACACCTACACTCGTATACTTATTGCACATTGTTCACAATAGCAAAGTCATGGAACCAGCCTAAGTGTTCATCAGTGGTTGACTAGATAAAGAAAATGTGATATACATCCACATAGAATACTATACCATGTAAAAAAGAATGAAAGTATGTTCTTTGCAGGAACATGGATGGAGCTGGAGGTCATTATCCTTGATAAATTAAGTCAGAAACAGAAAATCAAATACCACATGTTCTTACTTATAAGTAGAGCTAAACAATGGGTACACATGGACCTCAAAATAGAAATAATAGACACTGGAGACTCAAAAAAAGGGAAGAGTGAGAAGGGGTGAGGGCTGAAAAATTACCCATTGGGTATAAGGCTCACTTTGTGAGTAATGGGCACTAGAAGCCCAGTCCCCAGCAATACACAATAGACCCATGAAACAAACATGTATATGTACCTTCTGAATCTAGAATAAAGTAAAACTTAAAAAAATTAAAAAAGAGAATAAAAGTTCCAAATCAAACTTAGAGAGATGAAAACTACAATGTCTGAGATAAAAATTATACTGAATGGGAATAACAGCAGATTATATACTGTAGAAGAAAAGATTAGTCAACCTGAAAATATGGCAATAAAAACTATACAAAATGGAAAATACAGGGAAAAGAGAATTTAAATGCACATAGAAGCAGTAAGATGTAGAATAACTTTAAACAGTGAAATATACACGTAATTAGAATTTCTAAAGCACTGGAAAGTAGAAAACAAAAAAAAATTGAAAAAGCTAATGGGTGAAAGGGTTTCAAATTTTATAAAAAAATACAACCTTGGGGATACAAGCATGTCAATGAATTCCAAATCTAGGAAGTATGAAGACAATTACCTCAAGTCAAATTATAACCAAATTGTCCAAAACCAGTGAGAAAGAAAAAAATCTTAAAAACAGCTAAAGAAGAAAACATATATTACACATGGAGGAGCAAAGATAAGAATGGGAGCAAAGTGCTTGTCAACAATACTACAAATGATGAAACAGCGCAGCAACATTTTTAAATTACTGAAAACAGAAAGACAAATATCGCATGTTGTTACTTGTTTGTGGGATCTAAAATGTAAAACAATTGAACTCAAGGCCATAGAGAGTAGAAGGATGATTACTAGAGGCTGGTAAGGGTAGTGGGGGACTGGAGGGGAGGTGGGATGGTTAGTAGGTATAAAAAAAATAGAAAGAATGACTAAGACCTACTATTTGATAGCACAATAGGGTGACTATAGTCAGTAATTTCTTAATTGTATTATTTTAAAATAACTTAAAAATGTAATTGGATTATTTGTGACTCAAAGGATAAATATGTGAGGGGATGAATACCCCATTCTCCATGATGTGCTTATTTCACATTGTATGCCTGTATCAAAACATCTCATGTACCTCATAATATATAAATAAATATGCCTACTATATACCCACAATAATTAAATTTTTTAAAATTCCTGAAAATAAGAAAACAAAACATAACATTATTAACCTAGAATTTTATACATATGAAAAATATTTGAAAAAGAAAGGTGAAATAAATGTTTTGCAGAAATAAAAAAGGTGAAAGCATTCATCAGGACCAAACCCTCACAACAAGGAAGTTCAGGTATAAGGAAAATGATTCCAGATAAAAATATAGCTCTACAAAAAACAATGAAGAGCATTGGAAATAATAACTATATGGGTGAATAGACAATATATATTTTTTAAAAAATCCTTTAAAATATAATTTACTAAGAAAATAATAATATTGTATGGATTGTATATGTAAAAGTAAAATGTATAACAAATATAGCACACATCAGGAAGAGTAAAGAAAGCATAGTATTGTAAAGTTGTTATACACAAAGTGGTTATATCACTTAAAGATAGACTACAATAATTTAAAGATATATACTATGCCATAAAGCAATGACTAAAATAATAAAACAACAAATTATAGTTAATAAGCCAACAAAAGAAATAAAATGGAATCATAAATGTTCAATTAACCCCGAAGAAGGCAAATAAAGAAGAAAAAAGGGAAAAAATTTCAGATGAGTTAAATGGAAAATAAACAGCAAGATGTTAGATTCAAAGCTAACTATAGTAGTAATCACACTAAGTACAAATGACTTAAATATCCAATTTAAACGGGAATGAATTTGAAATTGGATACAAAAGCAAGATCTAACTGTATGCTGTCTATAAGAAATGCCCTTTAAATATAAGATACAAATAGACTAAAAGAATGGAAAAAAAGCCATACTATTATAACACTAATTTTTAAAATAATTGAAAAGATATTATTAATATCAGAAGTATATTTCAAGGAAAATAATATTTCTAATAATGAGGAAGGTAATTTCCTAATGACTTCATGATTCATCATGAGGATATAACAATGTTAAATGTTTATATACCTACCTCATAATAGAGCTTCAAAACATCTGAAGCAAAATGAATAGAACTTCAAGTGGAAATAGTCAAATCCACAAATGTTTTTAGGAAGTCTGATAATTCCTTCTCAACTATCGTTAAAATAAGTAGTCAAAGTCAATAAGGAGAAAGAATATTTGATATGTACTATCAACCAACTTGGTTGATTTAACACCTATAAAGCCCTCTACCCACCAACAGAATATATATCATTTGCAAAGTCACACAAAATATTTATTAAAATTGATGATGTTCTGGGCCATAAAATAAGTGGTACTAAGTTTAAAATGATTCAAGTTATATAGTGCCTGTTTTCTGAGGACAATGGAACTAAGTTAAAATAAGTAATAAAATAATCCTTTAAAAATTCCCAAATATTTGGAAACTAAAGAACACACTTAGCCCACTGGTCAAAGACAGAATTAGAAGGGAAATTAGAACATTTTTTCACTTAATGAAAATAAAAATACAACATATCAAAATTTGTGGGATGAACTAAAGCAGAACTGAGAGAAAAATTATAGCACTAAATGTACGTATTAGAAAATAAGAAATGTCTCAAATCAGAGACCTCTGATGTCATCTTAAGAAACTAAAAATGTAGAGCAAATTAAACCTAATGTAAGCAGGAGACAAAATAATAAATATCTGAGCAGAAAGCAATGGAACAGAAAACAGAAAAGCAGTAGAGAAAATCAATGAATTAAAAAACTTGGTCTTTAAAATTGATAATATTTATTGATGCTAAAATCAGTCGAAGTATTTTATTTTCAGATGTTCTGACTCTGTTCCTCTTTTATTTATTGCTTCTTTTTAAAATTATACTTTAAGTTCTAGGGTACGTGTGCACAACATAGGGATACATGTGCCATGTTGGTTTGCTCCACCCGTCAACTCGTTATTTACATTAGGTATTTCTCCTAATGCTATCCCTCTCCCAGCCCCCCACCCCCTGACAGGCCCCAGTGTGTAATGTTCCCCTCCCTGTCTCCATGTGTTCTCATTGTTCAGCTCCCACTTATGAGTGAGAACATAGGGTGTTTGGTTTTCTGTCCTTGTGATATTTTGCTGAGAATGATGGTTTCCAGCTTCATCCATGTCCCTGCAAAAGACATGAATTCATCCTTTTTTATGGCTGCATAGTATTCCATGGTGTATACGTACCACATTTTCTTTATCCAGTCTATTATTGATGGACATTTGGGTTGGTTCCAAGTCTTTGATATTGTGAATAGTGCCACAATAAACATACATGTGCATGTGTCTTTATAATGGCATGATTTATAATCCTTTGGGTATATACATAGTAATGGGATTGCTGGGTCAAATTGTATTTCTAGTTCTAGATCCTTAAGAAATTGCCACACTGTCTTCCACAATGGTTGAACTAGTTTACACTCCCACCAACAGTGTAAAAGCTTTCCTATTTCTCCACATCCTCTCCAGCATCTGTTGTTTCCTGACTTTTTAATGATCACCATTCTATCTGGCATGAGATGGTATCTCATTGTGGTTTTGATTTGCATTTCTCTGATGACCAGTGATGATAAGCATTTTCTCATACGTCTGTTGGCTGCATAAATGTCTTCTTTTGAGAAGTGTTTGTTCATATCCTTTGCCCACTTTTTGATGGGGTTGTTTGTTTTTCTCTTGTAAATTTGTTTAAGTTCTTTGTAGATTCTCGATATTAGCCCTTTGTCAGATGGATAGATTGCAAAAATTTTCTCCCATTCTGTAGGTAGCCTGTTCACTCTGATGGTAGTTTCTTTTGCTGTACAGAAGTTCTTTAGTTTAATTAAATCCCATTTGTCTATTTTGGCTTTTGTTGCCATTGCTTTTGGTGTTTTAGTCATGAAGTCTGCCCATGCCTATGTCCTGAATGATATTGCTTAGGTTTTCTTCTAGGGTTTTTATGGTTTTAGGTCTTACATTTAAGTCTTTAATTCAGCTTGAGTTAACTTTTGTGTAAGATATAAGAAAGGGACCCAGTTTCAGCCTTCTACATATGGCTAGCCAGTTTTCCCAGCACCATTTATTAAATAGGGAATCCTTTCCCCATTGCTTGCTTTTGTCAGGTTTGTTGAAGATCAGTTGGTTACAGATATGTGGTATTATTTTTGAGGCCTCTGTTCTGTTCCATTGGTCTATATATCTGTTTTGGTATCAGTACCGTATTGTTTTTGTTACTATAGCCTTGTAGGATAGTTTGAAGTCAGGTAGCATGATGCCTCCAGCTTTGTTCTTTTTGCTTAGGATTGTCTTGGCTATACAGGCTCTTTTTTTGTTCTATATGAACTTTAAAGTAGTTTTTTTTCCAATTCTATGAAGAAAGTCAGTGGTAGCTTGATGGGGATAGCATTGAATCTATAAACTACCTTGGGCAGTATGGCCATTTTCAAGATAGTGATTCTTCCTATCCATGAGCCTAGAATGTTCTTCCATTTGTTTGTGTCCTCTTTTATTTTGTTGAGCAGTGGTTTATAGTTCTCCTTGAAGAGGCCCTTCACATCCCTTGTAAATTGGATTCCTAGGTATTTTATTCTCTTTGTAGTATTGTAAATGGGAATTCACTCATGATTTGGCTCTCTGTTTGTTTGTTCTTGGTGTATAGGAATGCTTGTGATTTGTGCACATTGATTTTGTATCTTGAGACTTTGCTGAAGTTGCTTATCAGCTTAAGAAGATTTTGGGCTGAGACGATGGGGTTTTCTAAATATACAATCATGTCATCTGCAAAGAGAGACAATTTGACTTCCTCTTTTCCTAATTGAATACCCTTTATTTCTTTCTCTTGCCTGATTGCCTTGGCCAGAACTTCCAGTACTATGTTGAATAGGAGTGGTGAGAGCGGGCATCCTTTTCTTGTGCCGGTTTTCAAAGGGAATGCTTCCAGTTTTTGACCATTCCGTAAGATATTGGCTTCTAAATGAAGATATTTTACTTTTTAAAACTTTGCCATCTTCCTCTTTGTCTCACTCCATTGTTTGATACTTTATGTTGGTGATTTTTACATTATTACACACATGTTGTCTTAAGGTGATAAATCTCTAACTTGATTAGCTAGTGAAAAATGGTAGAAGATACAATTCCTAATAATAAAAATGAGAGAAGTGTCGTAACTACAGTATACAGAAATTAAAAGATAAAGAAATATTATGAACATCATCATACCAATAATGTGACAATCTAGATGAAATGAACAAATTCTATGAAAGCAACAAACTACTAAAACTCACTAAAAAAGAAATAGGTAATGTGAATATCTCTGTATCTATTATTAATAAAAAATTAAATCTGTAGTTAATAATCTTCCTACAAAGAAAACTCTGGGCCTACATAGCTTCACTGGTAAATTCTACTAGATATTTAAGGAAGAAATAATATAAAATTTACACAAACTCTTTGAAAAATTGAAAAGAAGGTAACACTTTCCAACTCATTATATGAGGCTAGCATTAGCCTGATAATTAGCCTGATACTAAAAGTAGACAAAGAAATATAAAAAGACATCTACAAGCCAAAACTTCTCATAATCATAGATAAAAAATTCAAAACAAAGTTTTAGCAAATCAAATTCAAAATATATAAAAAGAATAATACATTTTGACAAAGTGGGATTTATCCAGGAATTACAAGGTGACTTTAATATTTGAGAATCTATTCATATAATTGACTATATAAACTTAAAAAAATGATGTTTGTAGAGAGAGATTGATTGAATATTTTCTGTACTATTATTTTCTATTTTTTCAATTTTTTCTCTTTATTTCTCTGAATTCGCTCAGATAACTTCAAGCTGTCCCTCTTTGTCTATATTTTATTTTCAGATGTGCCTTTTCTCTTCCTCTTTTATTTATTGCTTCTAGATGACAATATTTTACTTTTTAACTATTTTTTTTACTCTACCATCTTCTTTATCTCAGTCAATTGTTTTTATACCTTATGTTGGTGTTTTGTCTTCTAAATTATTACACCCATGTTGTCTTAAGGTCCTGTATAGTGCAATGTACTTGTGAGACATATACTTCTATCTGTTATTTTTCTTTCAGAAAGCATTCGGAATTGTTTTGTAAATAATATTTCTTCCTTTAAATCTTTACTTGCCAAAATATTACTGCTAGAGGGGCTGCCATTTAGAGCAAAGTAAGTGAAACACTAATGTTTTAAGGGGCATGATAAAACTCAAAAAGCAAGATGAATAATATTTTAATAAAATATTTATTAAAATAAAAATTAATTTTAAAATTCTATGATTATCAAAATATCAAAATTTTACATAAAACAGAATTAGTAATCAAACTCTGCCAATTCATATTGAAGCCTGAGGCAGAGGAAATTTAAGTAACACTGATCCTTGCTTTTTTTTTATTTTAATTATTCTGGTGAGCATGTAATGATATTTTCTTGTGGTTTTGTAGTTTTGTCTTGAATTTCCCTGATAACTAATGATGTTGAACATCTTTTCATATGTTTACTGGCCATTTGGATATTGTCTTTTTTGAAATGCCAAAAATTTTGTTCATTTTTAAGTTGGGTTGTTGCTTTCTTATTATAAATTTGAAAAAAAAGTCTTTACGAATATTCAAAAACAAGGTTTATTTTAATTGTTGCAAGTTTCTTTTCTCATTTTGTTGCTTGGTTTTACCCTATTGATGATTGATAAATTGAAGTTTTTAATTTGCAAAAAGGCAAATCTGTCAACATTTTTCTTTGTGACATGTGCTTTCTTTAACTTAGGAAACTTTTTGACATCCTGAGGTTTTTACAATACTTTCCCATGTTAGCTTATTTTAAATTAATTTGAAATGTTTTAATAATTACATATACCACACATATACAGAAGCACAAAAATTGTATTGTACAATTCAATAAATTATCAAAAATAGATCTATGTGATCACCAATTATGTGAAAAACAGAACATTAAGAAGGCCCCAAGAATCCCATGACATGACCCCTTTCGAAAACTACTCTTTCTCTTTTTTTCTACAAGTAACCACTATCTTCATGTTTAATGCAATAGAAAAGTTTTGTGCATGTTGAATGTTTTATAAATGGAATCGTTCGTCAAAATTATCTCTTAAGATAAGAATTTTGTAAATACCTTTGCTTATAGTTGTAGTTTATTTCATTAGTGTACAGTTTTCATTGTATGGCTATCACAGTTTCTTTACCCAGTGGTCATTTAGATCATTTCTAGGATGTTTCTTGGCTTCTGCGAACATTTCATATATTTTTAAATTAACATATATGTTCACCTTTTTTTGCATAAATACATAGATATAGAATTGGTGGGTCACATTGACAGTGTCTGTTTATATAAAAACCTGCAAAAAACTGTTTTCCCAAGTGGTTTACCATTTTATATTCACACCAACAATATGTGAGAGTTTCAGTTTTTGGTTATTATTAATAACACTGCTATGAAAACAACAGCATTATGCGTGCGTGTGTGTGTGTGTGTAAAATAGATGACTCATAGAATATGCATATGTTTGATATTAGTAGATAATGCCAATTAGTTTTCCAAAGCAGTTGTCAAAATGTACAAACTCATCAGCACTGTGTAAGAGTTCTCATTCCTCCCTAACCTGATCAACACTTGGTATTATCAGCCTTGTAATTTTCAGCAGATCTGGTGACTCATCTCATTGGTAGTTTGAATTTGTTAATGAAGCTGAGCAACGTTACATATGTTTGTTGGCCATTTATAGATATTCTTTAATGAAATGTTTGCTTTTTATTTGCTCTCTTGTACCAGTTATTATTTTTTTTACCTATTTATTTATTTTTTTTGAGATGGAGTCTTGCTGTGTTTCCAGGCTGGAGTGCAGTGGTGCGACCTTGGCTCACTGCAACCTCTGCCTCCTGTGTTCAAGCAATTCTCCTGTCTCAGCCTCCTGAGTAGCTGGGACTACAGGCGTGCACCACCACTCCCAGCTGATTTTTTTTTTTTCTTTTTTTTTTTTTGAGACGGAGTCTCGCTGTGTTGCCCAGGCTGGAGTGCAGTGGCGGGATCTCGGCTCACTGCAAGCTCCGCCTCCCGGGTTCACGCCATTCTCCTGCCTCAGCCTCCCAAGTAGCTGGGACTACAGGCGCCCACCACCACGCCCGGCTAATTTTTTGTATTTTTAGTAGAGACGGGGTTTCACCATTTTAGCCGGGATGGTCTCGATCTCCTGACCTCGTGATCCGCCCGCCTTGGCCTCCCAAAGTGCTGGGACTACAGGCGTGAGCCACCGCGCCCGGCCTCCCAGCTGATTTTTGTAGTTTTAGTAGAGACGGGATTTTACCATGTTGGCCAGGATGGTCTCCATCTCTTGACCTCGTGATCCACCTGCCTTGGCCTCCCAAAGTGCTGGGATTACAGGCGTGAGCCACTGCGCCTGGCCTTATCCACTTATTTATTAAAATTCTAATTTTACCTTATTGATCACAGAAGTTTTTCTATATTCTGTATTAGTCCTTTTGGTTATATGTACTAAAAATGACTTTCCCATGTATCTTACTGTCTTCACACTATTAATAATGTTTTTGATGAAAAAATATTAATTATAATGAAGTCAGACTTGGCAGCCTTCCTTATGTTTTATGATTTGTGCTTTTTGTGTATTCTTTCAGAAATGTTTCATAAACCCAAGATCATGAAAATACTTTCCTAAATTGTTTTGAGACACTGTTGCTTTACATTTCACATTAAGATTTACAACATTTTGCAATGTATTTTGAAGTATAGTAATGCATAGAAGTCTTTCTACCCCTATTCTCCTCCCTCATCATCTCTATCAAGAGCATTTATTAAAAAGATTTGTTTTTTCCTTTGTACCTAAGTGACATATTTAATGAATCAACTGCCATATATGCCTGGATTTGTTTTTGAGGTCTGTATTTGATTCTTTTGTTTTATTTGTCTCCAAAGCAATACTATACTGATGTAACTGTGAGTTTATAAAAATTTTTGTCAGGTAGATCAATCCTCTCACTTTGTTTTTCTTGGAGAGTGTGATGGTTATTCTTGGTCTTTTGAATTTTCATATAAAGTTTTAATCAGCTTGACAATATCCATGGTGGAAGGAAGGAGAGAGAAAGAATTAAAGAAAGATGAGAAATGAAGGAAGGAAGAGAAAAGGCATAAAAGAAGAGAAAAGATGAAAAACATGCAAAACAGGACAGAAAGAATAAATAAATAAACAAATAAGTGACTTATAAAGTTAGGTTATAAATTGGGGTTATTCAGTATCTATAGAACATTTTGAGATAATTGACTTTTTTATGCTTACTCTTCTAATCAATGAATTCAATATAATCTCCACTTATTTGAACCTTATTTATTTATTTTTTGTAATGCTTCATAGTTTTGATACATAGGTCTTCCTATCTTTATCAGAGTAAATCTGACATGTTTGATATTTTATGCTAGTATCTATAATATCTTTACAATTTTTCACTTATCAAATTTGTATTCTTTATATGTAAAAGTAAGTTCAAAAGCAAATTAATCTTGTTATACTTGTTTTAACTTCAATGACTTATTTTTACAATCAATTGGATATTCTATTTATACAATGAAATCATTTTTAAATAATTCCAACTTTACTTCTTGCTCAATCCTTATATATTTTAGTGGGTTTTTTTTTTGTTTTAATTAACAAGCTAGGGTTTTCAGTAACAGATTTCTTAGAAGTGAAGATAGTGAGTATTCTCATCTCATTTCTAAATGCAAATGAAAAAATGTCAATATTTCCCAATTTAGTACAACTTATGTTTTCTTTTAGAATAAAATCTTTATTAGCAAATACAGGAATTTACCATACTTTTAGTTTTCTAAGAATGTTTAACTTAATTTTTGATTACTATCAATGGATGTTGAATTTTATTGCCACTATTTAGGTGATCATATCAACATTTTAAAATGTTTACCAGTTGGGCGTGGTGGCTCATGCCTGTAATCCTAGCACTTTGGGAGGTTGAGGTGGGTGGACCACCTGGGTTCAGGAGTTTGAGACCAGCCTGACCAACATGGTGAAACCCCATCCATACTAAAAATACAAAATTAGCCAGGCATGGTGGCACACACCTGTAATTCCAGCTACTTGGGAGGCTGAGGCAGGAGAATCGCTTGAACCTGGGGGTGGAGGTTGCAGTCAGCCAAGATCCAGCCATCGCACTCCAGCCTGGGCAACAAGAGTGAAACTCCATCTCAAAAATAAATAAATAAATAAGTAAATAAATGTAAAAATATAAAGTAAAATATTTACCTCTTTAATGTGGTAAATTCCATTTACATATTTTTTAATATTAAGCTACAATTGCCTTACTGGGATAATCCCAAGTTATTCAGGATATATGATCATTTTTACATTTTTATATATTAGGATTGCTAATATTTTGTTTAGGATTTTTGGACTTGATGGTTGGTGTTTGAAATTGATTTATTTTTGTTTACTTGTTAGTTTTGAAATCAAGGCTATGCTGATTTTATAAATTAAGTTGGAGAATATACTTAATTTTAAATTTTTTGTAAGAGTTTGTATAAGCTTTGTTTTCTATTGCTCTTACATGGTTAATTTAATCATCTAAGATTAAATTAATCTGATGGCATCTGGCTCCAGATTTTTGGATTCTATTTCTTTGGTTTGGGATTACTCAATTTTCATTTTCTTCGTGTGTCAGTTTTGAAAATGTATTTACTAGGAATTTGTCTATTTGCTTCTTAAAAATTCTTCAGTTCTCTTTTATCTGCTTAATTTAGCCATTTCAGCTTCTTTAATGTTTGTATATATCTTTTTATAGTATACATTTAAGTATTTGCATATTATATTATTTTTGTTTTTATTTCAATCTACTTCTTATCAAATTTGGTTTAAAGTGTCTTTTGGCAGCTATTTGGCCCATTTAAATTTACTGTAATTATTGGTATATTTAGGTCTAAATATACTATCTTGCTAAATGCTTTATATTTTTTGTACCTGCCAAATATTTCTCTTTCTCTTCTTTCCTATCTTTTGGAATGATTAAGGATTTCCTTTATATTAGTCCCTTTTCCTTTTATGAGTCTAGAAAGTATATACTATTTTTCTCTTTTTTAGCAGATACTCTGGAAATCATAACACATAAACTTATCAGCATCTAAAACTGATAATTTTATTTTCATTCCAAACAATGGAAGAAACTTAGAACACGTTAATTCAATTGACTGTGTTTGTTGTTTGTAATGCTGTTGAACCTATGTGTGTGAGTGTATGCAAGCCTCTAACAGCTTCATTATTGTTTTATCTACTATTGATGATTACTTAGATTTACCCACATATTTACCACATCACTTTCCTTGAATTCTTATAGCATCTCTGACTTTTAATTCAGGATCACTTTTTTCCTTCTGAGGATCACACTTTATTTTTTATTTTTAAAATTATTATTATTATTACTATTTAATTGACCATGCGAGAACTGGAGTCAGCACTCAAATCAGTCTCCAGGATCACACTTTAGAATGTCTTACTCTCAGTTTGTGTGAACAATCTCAGTTTCTTTACATTCAAAAATGTCTTTATTTCACTCTTAATCTTAAAGAATATGTTTCTCAACATACAATTTTAGTTATGTAATTATTTATTCCAGCATACAGAAAATTGTATTTTAATGTCATCCCATTACCATATTGCTCTTGAAAAGTCATTGCCAACATAACTGTTACTCCTTTTTATGTAATTATTTCTCATCAATACTGCTTTTGATCCCTGTTTTTTTTTTTTTTTTTTTTTTTTAGTTGATAGGTTCATGTAGTTTATCAGTTTTTTAAGACAAAATTGTTAGGGATTACATGTTTAAATTGCTTTTGTCCTGTGCTTTTTCTCCTCTATTTTGGGGTCTTCTGTTTTACATATACTACAACTTCTCACAGTATCCTTTATGTTTCTGAACCTCCTCCTTTTCCATCATTTTGACATTTCTTTTACTATTTTTAATAACTACTTCTGTCTGATTTTATGGGTTCCTAATTTGCTCTCTGGATATGTATATATATTCTGTTAAAACCATCCACTTAGTTCTTAATTTCATTTATTTTTCTATTCTAGAATTTCACATTTGTTTCTTTTCAAACTTGCCATAGCAATTTTTATAGTTTCAAGTTTCCTGCCAAAAATTTAAGGTTGGATTTTATTTACTCAAATTTGGTAAGCATAGTTTTACTGTCTGGAGTTGATAATGTCAACAGCTTAGGAGACTCTACGTATCTGTGCTATCTGTAGATTCTGTTGGTTTCACTTGTGTTTTATTGTCTTCTTGCACAGCACCCCACTGCTTATTTTACCAAATTAAAAATAGTCTGCCTGAATTTTATGATCTTTTATAATCTGTTTCTGCACTACTCATTCAATTCTGTTTGTCACTATTAACCACCACATACTTTCCAATCCAGTTAATTCAATATGCATCATTACTGTCTCTGTATTTTCCTTATGCTATTAATCATCACTGATGTTATCTATGCACCTCCTCTGGAGCTAAGTCCTACTCATCTTCCAGAGCTCACTTTTCACACTTGTTCCTTGTAAAGCCCAGTGCAACTATTCCAACCCATAACGTTCCCATGTATGTCAGGACTGTTTCCATGGCAAGCCACAGAAACTCAGCCGAAGCAAAATGGAGAATTTATTGGCACTGCTGTATTTTTCAGGCTCTGCTGGATCCATTGATTTGATGTCATTAATTCTTCTTTATTCTTTTCCCATTTAAAAAATCTTTCTTCTTCTTTCCATGTGATGACCTCTTGCAGCTCCAGGCTTATATTTTATTTTCTTTTCTTTTATTATTATTATACTTTAAGTTTTAGGGTACATGTGCACAACGTGCAGGTTTGTTACATATGCATACATGTGCCATGCTGGTGTGCTGCACCAAATTGTAATTCCACTGGAAAAAGAAATTTTCTCCATCATTAGCACAAAAATCATTTTATAATTGACTTATATTTGCCTGTACTAGGGTCATATTCCTGTCATTGTTGCTGGAATAATTGAATATGGTCACTTCTGGGTCATGCACCCCTCTGGCACATAGGCTGAGATGATGCGAATTATAATTCTGCAAAGGAAAATAAAGATACTCTTAAAAGGAAGGAAGATACGTGATTTTCAGAAAAAGCAGTGAGGTTCATCATATATCCCACCTTTGGGCATTCTGAAGTGATAGTCACTAGAAATATTGCATTTACTTATGTTTTAATGAATATATATATTCATATATATTTGCTTCATCTTCCCAATTAAATATATCTTTTAAAATATATTAACGGGTTTTATAAATCTTTTCTATCTCTCATGGTGTCTTTTTATTAGAGCTTATAAAGCATATTCATACTCACTTCTCTCTTTTTCTTTTTTTGGACACATGCAAATACTTTCTTCCTTGCGGTTAGGTGGGTGTTATGTAAAAAATTGTGGCCAATGGGCCCTGAAAGGAAGGGAACTGTGTTACCTTTCATCTGAAGCAGTTAAGGTGTAGATATGTATCCTATATACTTTCTGTTCCAGTGATGTGGCAAATTCTGATGTCACTACTTGATATAGCAGCATTATAAAGTGATGCAGATTTTGTCAGCCTGGAGTTCTAAGTGACTGTGGAGCAGTCTCCTGCCAACTTTTATTAGATATATAGTATGGGCAAGAAATGCAAGTTTGTTTTATTAAACCATAAAAAATTTGGGATTACTTTGTTTCTACATCATGTCCTAGCCACTCATAAATAATTTTTGAGTAATCAAGGCCATGCACTAAGTACTGTTTATGAGAGAGTTGCTATTTGAGCATTACGTTTTTAATCATATGTCTTTGTAAAGCTTTGGAGTTTTAAGGTGTTTTCTCATATATTGTCATCTGGTTTTCACAACAATTATATGAGGTAGGTAAAGGTTTTATTTTCTCTGTTTTGCAGGTTAATAAAATATATCTCAGATCTGTTAAGTGACATACTCAAGAACACACTCATATGAGACAAAGCTAGGACCTAAATATTCCAAGTTCAAGTCTGGAGTTTACATAGTCTAGATTTATAGCAAGTCACAAATTTAAAGCGTTTTTGCTTCACTGAATATCAATATGTCTTACCACCAAAAGTCAATTTTGTAATAATAATTTATATTACATAAAAGAAAGTTATTTTTACATTATGTTTCCTGTCTTCTGGAACCTAGTATCCATATTCAGGAACTGTACAATCTCAGGGGGATTATATAATTAATGAATTGTGCATTTCACTATTTAATATATATGAGTATCTTTTCCTTCTTTCAGACTTTTTTACATGACTGTGTATCGTAACAGATTTAAAATACTTCTGTATGTTGTAACTAAACTCAACTAGCTGATGAGTTCTCTGTGGGATAAAAAAAAAAAAAAGTAAACCTGCCCCTTCAAGCTATCTCAGTCATAGTCTGTTTTAAATGTTATCAGTTCAGAATTTAAACTTAGTACAGTGAACATTCTGGCTTCTACTGCCTCTCTTTCTCATGTGGGGGTGATCTATATAGGAGGGTGGTGACTGGGTTTACATCCCATCCTTCATCAGGACCCTGGAAGGGGCAGGAGGGAGCCTGGTCTCAGTGTGGACCTGGGTCCCTGCTGACCTTTGCCTTCTTCTATATGGTCTATGGTCATGCTGTGTTGGCACCTGCTTTTGGTGTCCATAGTCCTTTTCATGGTCCTGGTCATAATATAAACTACTCTTGTCCACCATATTCCCACTGCAATTCTTTTTTCTCCAGCCTTCTCAAAACTTCTCTGCCTGAGCATGGGAGAGAATTGCAGGGAGGAGGCTTCGGAAGAGTTTAGGAATTCTTTGCTGCTTTCCTAGCCCCAAATAGGCTTCTGTAAGGCTGCCCTCAGGTCCATGTGGAGAGATACCTCCCTCAACCACTAAATTCGGTGTTTAGCTTCTCTAAGCAACTTAGACTTTCTATACCCTAGGTTTCATTTATATTAAGTGCCTGTATTTTTGTTTTGTATTTTGTTTTTGTTTTTGTTTTTGGAGACAGGGTCTGGCTCTGTATCCAAGGCTGGAGTGCTGTGGCATGATCATGGCTCGCTGCAGCCTCCACCTTCCAGCCTCAAGGGATCCTCCCACCTCAGCCTTCCAAGTAGCTGGGACTACAGGCACACACTACCATGCCCAGCTAATTTTTGTAATTTTTATAGAGACAAGGTTTTGCCATGTTGCCCAGGCTGGTCTCGAACTCCTTGGTTCAAGTGATCTGCTCAGCTGAGCCTCCTAAAGTGCTGGGATTATAGGTGTAAGCCACTGCACCATCCTTTTCCCTTGTATTTATTCCAATTTTTGGCTTTTATCGCAAGACTGTGCCTTACACACTTCTGTATTAAGGTCCTAGTAAAATGCATAGTAGCTACTTAGTTAACGTGTGCTGGATAACAATAGTTTGGATGAGTTAATTGTACCTTCCTGTACTATGTCTAAATCTACTGATTCTTCCAAATGTCTTCAAAATTGGTAAGCATCAAGTAAACGATCAGAAATGTTTACTGATTTATTGGTATGTTAATTATAATTCTTTTGAGCACAAGGAATAGGAAGATGACTTGAGCTGTATTAGACAGAAGAGAGGTATTTGAAGGACACTGGAGTACCTAATGTAACTCTGAGACCAGCAAGGGTCCAGTGAGCTCTCAGAGTTAATGGATACACAACACTGTGAATGCTTTCAGGACACTCTCTATTCTGTGCTACAAACACTGGCTTCTGTCTTTCAGTCCATCTGGCAGGAAACAAAACCACTGAATTCCAAGCGTCACATATCACAACCTGACCAGCAACTTACTACTCTCCATATGTTGTTTATTTTTAAAGAATCTTTTGTACTTTCAGATCTAGCTCGACCTGTCTTAGGTCAGATACTTGCCTCAGAACCAGTTAATGCGGATGGTAGATTATTATTACTGGCTTGATGAGAACCAAAAAGGTATCTGGTTTTCTCTTCAATGAGGTATCCCTGAATGAACAAATGATAACTGTACTGTATCCCTTGTATGTTTGAATATGTTGGTATGATTGAATAATCTGATTAACTTAAGAAGTGAAAGACGTGTCCAAGTTCATATGGCAATATCATTTAAGCTTAGCAGTTTTTTTGAATCATTTTATTTCCTCACATAGATCCAACTTCATTACGCACTTTATGAAAATATTCTTCTAATACATGGAGATAATAACTGAAATGATTACTATCCATTAATATGGATTAATAAGGCAGATCTAAATTAAACCATAAGAATTTAGTTTGAAATGCATTCAGAGTGATTTCCTTTAGTTTTGAAGCTTTTGCAATTCCCCACCAGACCCTCCTTTTTGGATAAATGCCCAAAATACTATCTATCTTTTGGTTCATTTAAGTAAGTTGATGGCAAATGAGTATTCCATTGGCATATGTTGCAAAAACATCTTTCCTGCTGTTCATGGGCTTAATTTTCCCACCATGTACCTCAGTATTCTAAATGCATAATGCTTCACAGGACACAAAATGAAGCAGCTAGTCCCATTTAAATATTATGGCACAATCTTCTTTGAACTCTTAAAGCATCATGTTGTAGCATACCACTTTTCATGAGGTCTGTATATTTAAATTATTTATAAAGGATTTAAAATGAGATTGTTGTTGGTTAATCAGTTTCAGCTGGGTTGACATTACCCTTGTTGGCAGCTAAAAAGATGGAGGGATAGAGAAAAGAGTATAAATATGTTGAGGGAAAGAACTATGTGAAAATCAAGGAAATCACTCCAATGCCCATGTACTACATAAGAGCCTAAACTGTTTTTCTTTATGTATTTTGAGATAAGGCATTTATTTTTTATTTTCCTATGAAAAATAAGATAGAAATATTTTGTGTTGGGTGTTTGAATTTGTCATCAAATATTTTATTCCTTATTTTTACAGTGATATTTAATGTTGGGTCTAATAGACGGAATGCTTTAAAATAGTTTTACATATAGAAAGCTTATAAAATCTGGTATCAATGAGTAAGTCATACCTTAAATACTTTCAAATAGTTTCATGCAATAGATAATTAAGCTGTTTAATAATGTAAAATTTAAACTCATCAAAGTTTAAAAAACTAGCCATAAATGTCTGTGAGGTTATGAACTTTCAATCTCATTCAGGGCTAAGACCGTGCACAGTAATCCCCAAACAAGGTAGTTTTTACTAAGATACGTGTTGTGATCTTGTAAATTGCTGAAGCAGGATATATGTATGTATGTACACAGGCATGTATATACACATCAGCAAATATATGTCATACATGCATGAAGACATATAAATATCTATATCTGTATTCAATGTTAACTATGCCTCAGCACCCTTTAGCAGTCCACCAAAGGTATCAAAACATTGTCCATTTCTTCCTAAAATTGTGAAATACAAGCAATTATCCATTAAATGTGAAAAACCAAGTGGGAAGGTTGAAATGGAGACTGCTAGTCACTTAAGGATTCCCTGAGAAGAGTGATAATACAGTGAGGGTATCATAACTCAAGGACTATTTCCTAAGATAAGATATTGGGATTTTATTAAGGGTAGTATGCAGTTTTATTGTATCAAATTTATAAATATACCTTAAAAATCGAAAATCATATTTTGTACCCCTTTGATAGTAACTAGTGTTATACCACAACCACATGTAATTGTCATTGTCACATAATATTAGAATGATTTATGGGGTATTAATTACTTGGTTCCTAACAATTATCAGTGAAGTTTTAAGAATCTGGTTAGATATTTCTATATTTTTCAATTACCATTGGTCTCTAGACTAAGCCAAAAAATTACAGGTAATTGCTTCACATGTCCTTAGAGTTAAAAAATTATGGCATAAAGGAAAAAGAAAACTTTCCCTGTTGTTGGAATTAGACCATATTTCATTTTTCAATTCAGTGTATTTTTCATCAATATTCCTTTCCAAAACTTGAGTGTGATTGTTTTTGTACTTTATTTTAGTGAAATGCTAATTAGAAGTGTTATAGCTAATCGATGCCATCAAAATAGTTCTTTTAAATAACCAGGACATGAACTCTTTAACAAGATTCAGTCAGTTCTATTTATAGTTCCCCTAAGCTATGAACTATTTGTACACCCATGTTTCTGCATAATGACTTTTCAGTGTGGTTTCAGTAATCATTCCAGAAGGCACAATCTCAAAATATCTATATGCATAAAGAATATATTTAAAATAAAGGCTAAATTGGCTGGCCATGCATTAAACCATTTGTCTGTGAAATCGTTTTGTGAACTATCTCCAAACAGGAGATGTTCCAGCTGAGTGTAGGACATAGCAAACATTTTTTTTTTTTTTTTTTTTTTTGCTTACCATATTATATCACCATAACTTCTTTTGGAAACACTTCTTCCTCTATGTGTCCTCTTAAACACTTCTTCCTTCTTTCTCTAAGATGGCAAGCCATTTTGAGAATTTGGACTTTATTTAGCCCACACAGGAGTAGAAGAAGAGATAGGCTCACTCTCAAACTACTTGACTTTAAATACTTAATAGCTGAAATGAGAGGCACTGGTGATTTTGTGAAGAAAGTATGTTAGCACCAGATTCCCTCAATGTTAAAAGATGAGGGGTGCAGAGAGTGAATAATGTAGGCTTCCCTGGAAGAACACTTGTCTCCTATGTTTCTGAATGAGAAGCTGTTCTCTCTCTCTCTCTTTTTTAAGGCTTTGGAAGGAAAGGCATTTAAAAGAGCCATATTTTTAGTTTCAAAACAAAAATAATTCATTTCTTTTGAGCTTTTCTTTAATCAAGAACATGCGTGAAATCTTTTCACATAAATGAATAATGCTTTTATAATTAACCTGGTCTTTTATAAGACAATATCAAAATAAGTATGTTGTGCTGCTAACTGCTGTCTTTCTATCTTTGTGAGTGTGAAGAGAGACATCAGATTTAGACTTATTCATGATTTCAGACCTCTAGTAATAGAGAAGAATCTTCATTATATACTTAATTTTAAAATATGCTCCCTTTTCTCCACTCAAATACCATCCATTTCTCAAATTATTAGAGTCAGATCGGCTAAAATATTCATTGTGATTATTGTATGACTTTTTTTTTTCTAAATTTTAGGGCAAGCATGTTCCCTGACATTAATCTCTATCCAATATTTACCATAGAAAAGAGAATTAGTAGCTTAATTATAACTGTTTCTTAGTAATTTTTATTTACTAGCTTCTGCTGTTAATGTGCTTTTAGAAAATAAAAATGTAATTCTACAAACTTGACTGTTTCCTGATGTTTATTTATTTTTATTTTTTATTATATTTTATTTTATTTTTAATCATGGATGGAGGATCCCAGTCACCCATATCACAGGTCTTAATTCAGGTACGGGATATAAGTGTTGGGTAATTTTTCTTGCTGCCATGAAATAGTTTTTATATGTCTGTTCTTATATCTGCTATATATATGAACATACATACTTTTAAGTAGTGCATGAAGATAAAAATTTTAGGTGTGTTGAAAAATATAATTTACTTTTAGGTGTGGCATATTTACAGCCTCTAAACGGAGATACCTACACTGTCTCTTCTAGATAAAAAGTGAGTTATATACTCTGCCATTCAATAAGTACACCTATTTTACTTATATAAGCACATGACATCATCATTTAAACCAAACCGATTTCTAAGCACCACAGCTGTTACTAGTTATTTAGAAGTCTAATTTGAGCAGAATGTGTCACGCCAACTTTGCACACACGCGCTCACACAGGCAGTATTCACATTAAAACTTTCACCTCTATTAAATAGCAACAGTTCTTCAAAAATTCCAACACTCTACTCTTAACAACTAAATAAAATATGTGTCTTTGAGGAGTAATATGCCTATTTTATTTTTATTCCTTGAGGCAAATCTTGTATTGAGTGGTGCAATTTTGTTTCACTGCTGTCACTTTAATCAGTTCTCAAAGATGCATGTGACACTGGGTGGGTTTAGTCTTCCAACCTCATTGTTTCACTCCTCTGAATTCAGGGCAAATCTCTGTGACTTTTGTTTTCAATGGAGGTCACACATATATAGCCATCAACATTGAAATAGCATTTTCTCATGCAAACAGAAGCTTTAATAGCCTCTACAAGGGATTGCTCCTTAGGGAGAGTAAATTCAAAATGGCACAAGCCATCTGTTGTGGTGGGATTTTTAAGTTTCCTTGTGCAGTACCCCTCTCTCTCTCTCTCTCTCTCTCTCTCTCTCTCCCTTTTGGTTGTATAAAATGACGGCTTTATAATCCATTCTTAAATTTCAAGTTGATTAACTCATAAAAATAATAGCAGGTCCACAGACCATTGTAGATAGGTGCACTGTATGACCAGAGTAACTGAAAAAATCAAATTTGCATTATGGAGTCCAACAGTCAATTCAGTGTTTACTGAAAAATACTCCCTGTTGCTCTGGCCATGGAGTGCTTTGGGAGATGATAGGAAAGCTGTGGGTGGGCCCAGATAGGTGACTGTGCCATGAACCCCACTTATTTGTGTGTACCTCTGAAGCCTGACTTCAGAAGGCTTTTTGTTGAGCTGAAATTAATATGAAAAGCATTTTTTAGAACAAAGAATGTTCTTTGGGTTGAACTTGAATATTTCCCAGAAGTCCAGAGGGCAGAATTGGTGAAAGGAGATTTTTAAATCCCCAAATCCAGAGAGTGCACTATTAACTTTTACAATACTAGAAAAATTGTAAGTAAGTTAGTATCTGTTTTCACTAATAGATTGTAAGCTTAATGCAAGTAGACACTGCCTCATTCATTCTATAGCCCTAATCTCTAGCAGAGTACCTGGTACATACTAAGTGCTGAGTCAATATTTGTGTAAAGGAAGAAAAAAGAAAGAAAGGTGGGAAGGCAGGGAGGATGGGAGAAAGGGGGAAAAATAAAATTAACCATGAAAAGTGAAAAGCTCCAAGTTCTTGAAGAAGCATTGAACCTTATAGGTTACCAACTCTAAATGAAAATACTAAAAGAATGGTTTAAGAATAAAATCTACAAATTATGAAAAATGTTTTTAAAATGAAATATCAACCCGATACTAAGCTATTCTAGCTACCATACAGAATTGGCCTCCAGATATGACATCCTTACTTTGAGTTTAGAATTGCGTGGGTTTTGAATAATTTAAAACCTCAGCTAGTCTAAGAAGATCATACTCATAATAGACTGAGGGTGAATAATGCTTTGGGCAAAAGTATGATTCCTCCTGTTTTAATAATTTTTATGTCACAATGAGGAATCCAGTAGTCAGCAGTAGCTCTCAAACTTTACTCAAGAATGAATTCTGGACTGTGTCTAATTCAATTTTCTAGACTGCTTTTTGCTATATTCAGATTAATTTGTAGTAATTAAGATTTGCAGGATGATGACAAAGAATGTTAAATAGGACCATATGAACAATGATGTGCATTTCTGTACAAGGACAATATTTTCCCTGTGACACATGCCTTAATTTCCCTGTTTTGTTTCACTCCATGAGCATAAGACCTAGAAATTACAGGCTATGTAAGCAGAATAGGGTGTATAAAAGGAGATTGTGGTGAGTAATCATGGAAAGACAGACAGAGGCCAATATGTTGATGTTTCACTTTGTGGTCCCTTGGTTAGTTTTCTACGTTCTATCTTGTTTTCACCTGGTTTAAGTCAGACTAGCATTGAAGCCCCACCTCACCGTCACCTGGTGTTATTCCATTTCTCTGGACTAAAATAATACAACATAAATCTTAAAAGAATGAAAGAAAGAGACAGGAAGTAGCACCAGAGCCTAGGACACAGATTTCCAGACTCCCAGGCTAGTAATCTTGGACATAGGGAGACCATTTCTTGTCATTGTATCATCTTTTTTTTTTTTTTGAGACCGAGTCTCACTGTGTCACCCAGGCTGGAGTGCAGTGGCGTGATCTCGCTCACTGCAACTTCTCCCAGGTTCAAGCGATTCTCCTGCCTCAGCCTTCTGAGTAGCTGGGATTACAGGTGCCTGCCACCACGTCCAGCTAATTTTTTGTATTTTTAGTAGAGACGGGGTTTCACCATGTTGGCCAGGCTAGTCTTGAACTCCTGACCTCGTGATCTGCCCGCCTCAGCCTCCCAAAGTGCTGGGATTACAGGCATGAGCCAACGCGTCATCTTTCACCTTAGTTTTCTCATTTGTAAAATGAAGTGCAGGACCAAATTACACCCAGGATCACTTTATGCTTCCAAGAACTATGATCAAAGATAAAATTGTTTGACGGGTTCGATAGAAACATAAGGTTTTCCACCTGACATTGACTGGAAAGTGATTAAACAGTAATTCCTGGAGAAACTGTTACATAGGTGCTGTTTAATGAAAATACATAGGTATTGCTTATATAGAGACTCTCATTCATTATTTTAATTTCATTCACAAAAAGACTGATTCAATTAAAGGCAGGTGAACACTACATGATTATTTGTTTCAGTCTATTTCCTTCCAGCTATGCTAGTTGCCCAGCACAGTCTATTCTCTCCATCTCATTGAAAAATATATTTGGCTGGGCACATGATTGACCCACCGTAGACTGTATTTCCTGGACTTTGCTGCAGCGTCGGCTCATGGGACTCAGTTCTTGCCAATGGAATGTGAACTAAAATGGTGTGTACAGCTACTATGACACTCACTTAAAAGGAATTTATTGTACCCCCTTCATTTTTTACTTTCATCTCATGAGTTAGAATAAAGATGTGACCATGACCCAACTTAAGCAAATAACAACAATGCCCTAGAAAATTCAGGAGTAACAGATGGAAGTAAATGGAGTCCTGAATGACCTGCAGCAGACTGGTGCCACCAGCTGGAACTTCCCATCCCCATCTATTTCTAGACAGATACTTGAGAGAGAAATACAACTCTTATCCTTCTCGATTCACTATTTCGGATCCATCTGTTACCTGACTGAAGGCATGTTCTTCTCAGCAGGAGCTGGGTGCAGTCACCACAGCGGTAGACAGAACACTAAAATTTGAGAGAGGCACTGACTCTACTGCCCTTCCACAGCTGGTGTGCCCAAAGCTACAGTACGTCATGAAAATCTTAATTCTTAAAGACTAGGCCTTGAGCAAATGCAAAAGCAACGTATAAAATAAGCCTTGAAGGAATTAATAGCCTACCAACCAAAAAAAAAAAAAAAAAAAAAAAAAAAAAAACAAGCCCAGGACCAGTTGGATTCACAGCTGAATTCTACCAGAGGTACAAAAAGGTACCATTCCTTCTGAAACTATTCCAAACAATCGAAAAAGAGGGACACCTCCCTAATTCATTTTGTGAGGCCAGCATCATCCTGTTATGAAAACCTGGCAGAGACACAACCAAAAAAGAAAATGTCAGGCCAATATCCCTGATGATCATCGATGCAAAAATCCTCAATAAAATACTGGCAAACTGAATCCAGCAGCACATCAAAAAGCTTATCCACTAAGATCAAGTTGGCTTCATCCCGGGGATGCAAGGCTGGTTAAACATACACAAATCAATAAACGTAATCCATCACATAAACAGAACCAATGACAAAACCCATGATTATCTCAATAGATGCAGAAAAGGCCTTTGATAAAATTCAACATCCTTTCATGTTAAAAACTCTCAATAATCTAGCTATTGATGGAACATATCTCAAAATAATAAGAGCTATTTATGAAAAATCCATAGCGAATATCATACTGAATGCTCAAAAGCTGGAAGCATTCCCTTTGAAAACCAGCACAAGATAAGGATACCCTCTTTCACGACTCCTATTCAACAAAGTAGTGGAAGTTCTGGCCAGGGCAATCAGGAAAGAGAAAGAAATAAAGGGTATTCAAATAGGAAGAGAGAAAGTCAAATTGTGTTTTTGCAGATGACATGATTCTATATTTAGAAAACCCCAGTGTCTCAGCCCAAAATCTTTTTAAGCTGATAAACAACTTCAGCAAAATCTCAGGATACAAAATCAATGTGCGCAAATCACAAGCATACCTGTAGACCAACAATCGGCAAGCGGAGAGCCAAATCATGAATGAATTCCCATTCACAATTGCTTCAAAGAGAATAAAATATCTATGAATACAGCTTACAAGGGATGTGAAGGACCTCTTCAAGGAGAACTACAAATCACTGCTCAAGGAAATAAGAGAGGACACAAACAAATGGAAAAACATTCCATGCTCATGGATAGGAAGAATCAATATTGTGAAAATGGTTATATGTTCCAAAGTAATTTATAGATTCAATGCTATTCCCATCAAACTACCATCGGCTTTCTTCACAGAATTAGAAAAAACTACTTTAAATTTCATATGGAACCAAAAAAGAGCCCGTATAGCCAAGAAAATCCTAAGCAAAAAGAACAAAGCTGTAGACATCACGCTACCTGACTTCAAACTGTACTACAAGGCTACAGTAACAAAAACAGCAGGGTGTACTGGTACCAAAACAGACATATAGACCAATGGAACAGAACAGAGACCTCAGAATTAACATCGCACATCTACAACCATCCGATCTTTGACAAACCTGATGAAAACAAGTAATTGGGGAAAGGATTCTCTATTTAATAAATGATGCTGAGAAAACTGGCTAGCCATATGCAGAAAACTGAAACTCGACCCCTTCCTTTCATCTTATACAGAAATTAACTCAAGATGTATTAAAGACTTAAAAATAAAACCCCAAGCCATAAAAACCCTAGAAGAACACCTAAGCAATACCATTCAGAACATAGGCATGGACAAAGATTTTATGACTAAAACATCAAAAGCAATTGCAACAAAAGTCAAAATTGACAAATGGGATCTAATTAAACTAAAGAGCTTCTGCAGAGCAAAAGAAACTATCATCAGAGTGAACCAGCAACCTACAGAATGGGAGAAAATTTTTGCAATCTATCCATCTGACAAAGGGCTAATATTCAGAATCTACAAGGAACTTAAACAAATTTACAAGAAAAAAGAATCCCATCACAAAGTGGACAAAGGATATGAACAGACACCTCTCAAAAGAAGACATTTTGCAGCCAACAAACATATGAGAAAAAGCTCATCATCACTGATCATTAGAGATATGCAAATCAAAACCAAATGAGACACCATCTCACACCAGTAAGAATGGTGATTATTAAAAAGTCAGGAAACAATAGGTGCTGGCATGGCTGTGGAGAAATAGGACACTTTTACACTGTTGGTGGGAGTCTAAATTAGTTTAACCATTGTGGAAGACAGTATGGCGATTCCTCAAGCATCTAGAACTAGAAACACCATTTGATCCAGCAATCCATTACTGGGTATATATCCAAAGGAATATAAATCATTCTACTATCAAGATACATGCACACATGTGTTTATTGCAGCACTATTTACAATAGTAAACCAACCCAAATGCTCATCAATGATAGACTGGATTAAAAAAATGTAGCACATATACACCATGGGATACTATGCAGCTATAAAAAAAAATGAGATCATGTCCTTTGCAGGGACATGGACGAAGCTGGAAGCCATTATCCTCAGCAAACTAACACAGGAAGAGAAAGCCAAACACCACATGTTCTCACTCACAAGTGGGAGTTGAACAGTGAGAACACATGGACACAGGGAGGGGAACAACACACACCGGGGCCTGTCGGGGGTTGGGGACAAGGGAAGGGAGCACATTAGGACAAATATCTAATGCATGTGGGGCTTAAAACCTAGATGATGGGTTAATAGGTGCAGGAAACCACCATGGCACATGTATACCTATGTAACAAACCTGCACCCTCTGCACACGTATCCTGGAACTTAAAGTAAAATAAAAATAAATAAAATTAAATTAAGCCCTTATGCATGAGCTCAGGAGTTTGAGTCCAGCAGGGCAAAATAGTTAGACCCGTTTCTAAAAAAAGAAAAGAAAAAAAAGGTAGGCACTAAATTTAGATAAACAGACATAATAGAGCAGTCAGACTGTATGGAATTAGAGCAATAAGAATTACGAAAAAGTATAAATGGAGAATTAGAGGTGCCTTAGTCATAGTGGTTAAGGGTTATCACCTATTTCTTGGTGAGAAGAAACTGAAGAAGCTGAAGCCTCCTCTGAATATCCTTTATAGTTCATTGGATATATTAACAATATGTATTTTTATTACTGATTGAATTTACTCATTAATACCATTTTGTTATTATTATAATTCTATTCTTTAAAAAACCATATGATAATTACAATAAATAGATACCTGTTCAAGTAGACTCCACCCAGTTTGGGGAGTTTATATCCTAACATCCAAATTGGTGAAACTAAGTAATCAGCATGTGGTTTACTTTTTTTCGGGAGTGCTAGGTTCACATTTTATGAGATATGCTAACCCCATACTCACTTTGATGGCAGAATAAAATCAATGTTCATTATTTTTTTCATACAAAGAATCTTTTTACTGAACGGCTCACATTTATCCTCCAGGCAGTGTTATAGATACTGAAAATTCAGGGTAAACTTACAACCCTTACAGTTTAAGGAAGGTGCTGGTAGCATTCTCTGATTTTGCTCTAATAACTGCCCTAATATATCTATACTTATTCCTCATGGTTATTATTATTATTTTACCTTTTATTTTATTTACTTCAGCGATATGCTTTCTAAGTACTTAAGTATTAGGTCAAACACAACAGTTATTCTTGACTCATTGTCCAAATTTTCATATTTTTTGTATTCACAGTATATTGATATAGCAGTATTGAATTGATATACATCAGTATACATGTTACAATTTTATCAATTATATATTGAAATTACTAACATTTCTTGTATTTATATTGATATTAAGGATTTACCTAGAAATGGTATTTCCATACATTAGCAGCTGATTGTAAAGTAGTGGTCATTTGGGCAAATATTTTCATTTTTTGAAAATTTATTCCAAATTTTGAAGTTGAAATGTATATACATGTCATATTTTAATGATTAAATAAATAATTCAAGGGTAAATACATACACTTACATTGTCTTTTTGATGTTCCAAGTTTGTATGCTACATTCCTGTTTCTCTACTGCATAGTGAAAGCAAATCAGATGTATGAGTATTCTTATTATTTGACTGTGTGCTGTGACTGTTTGGTAATTTGGGGAAAATAGGTTGTTTCTCAAGGTAGGTTTTTCTTATCTGCATGCTCCAGGCATCCCAATAGTTAATATTTAACAACTTATATTGGTTGAATTCCTTCTTCCCTTTGATAGCTCAACTGAAGCTTGATGTTTATGGTGGAAATTGTCTTGATTCCTTTAGATGATATGAGCATCCAAGGAGTTTGAAAATGTGTTTTAATTAAGATTCTGCTAAATTTTACCAGACACCTACTTGGAAAACAAGGCAACTGAATAATTAACTCTGATGAGAGCAGATGCTGGTCTAATGACAACCTGTTACTGCTCAAGTGCATCATTAGTTGTTTTACTGTGCTCCTTTAATATGTCCAGAGCTCTCCTCTGTTAATGAATACATCGGTAGCTGGGTACTTAAAATAGTTCCTCATTCTGGACTGTTGTAAAAGATATTTCTAGCGTCTGCAAAATTCTTCATTTAAATAATTTGGTCCCCGTTCATCAACCCCCTCCCTTCATCTATTTGGCATGTGCTTGGAACCAAGCACTTCTTTAGTTTTCCTTGTGGGATTATTTTAGCCATACATCAAGGGAAGCTTACAAATTGATGAGAATCTAATGATGCATTTATTTACAGATGTGCATTTCATTTCCCTGGTATGTTGTTGAGGGGTAGGAAGAGTCGAAAGACTCCCCCTCCCTAACTCACCCCGCCAGTGTTATGGGAATAGCCATGCATTTGACAAAATAAGAAATAGAAATAACCTCATATTTGATTTTATGTATAGTTGTCAAACATGAATTGGTACACATTCTCTTTAAGTGCATGGTTGATCTTTCAGAATAGCAATGTAGGAAATTATTTCTCTTCAATGATGCAATAACCCTATGCTGTAGTTTTTTTTTTTTTTTACTATTGTATGCATTGTTTTTATATAAAATCATAGGTTTACAGTTTAAACCTTAGGCACAGCACAAAACTACCTGACAAACAACATAGGTTTTAAAACTGATGCAAAATAAGGGAATGTAGAATCCAATTTAGATTCCATGTTCAGAGTCACAACACACATATTACATCTTGAAAAGTTTAAATATTTTTATGGAAATTCATTAACAAATGAAAGATGAATATGAAGAGTATACTTTAGATTACTTCAAATAATATTCTAATCAAACCAAAGGCAATGGGTACAGAATATCCATGAAGGGGAAAGACAATAATTTTTACATGCTATGCTTCATAACATTCTGTATACTATACATACTTTAAATTTGTAAGGCAATTCCTCTGGAGTTGGTCACATACTATGCAGGTCAATCAAGAGTACATCACAGGACCTTTGGACTTTCTCCTCGTCCTCATTTCTACTTCCAATACCCAACCACTGTCATATAATAGAAGTTAATTTTAGTGTTCTTAAAATATTTTCTAACAAGAAAAAAGCTATACCTCAAAGTGGTTAAAATACTGTACTTTATCAAGTCATACATAAAATATGGTTATCTTACTGTGGTAACTAAGTTTTCAAAATATTTCTTTCCTTTTTTATTGTGGAGGGTAGAGGGAAGTGGAACATGTTAAGAATTCGTTTTATGAAACGTGTTTCAGAATGGCTTTACCAAGTCACGATAAACAACTCCCTTTTATTCATTAAAAATTCTGGTTGATAGCCAAAATCATCTTAATGTAGATGGCATAGAGAAAGCCTATTTCTGTTTTTGCCTTTGATCTATCTCAAAGCTGTGTTTGAAGTCTGACATTAAATTCCTAGGTATTTCATTATTTTTGTGGCTATTGTGAATGAGATTGTGTTTTGATTTGGCTCTCAGTTTGGATGTTGGTGTACAAAAATGCTATTGATTTTTGCACATTGATTTTGTATCTTAAAACTTTGCTGAAGTTGTTTATCTGATCTAGGAGCTTTCGGATAGACTATGGGGTTTTCTAGGTATAGAATCATACAGTCTGAAAA
Source organism: Homo sapiens (assembly GCF_000001405.40). NCBI lineage: Eukaryota > Metazoa > Chordata > Mammalia > Primates > Hominidae > Homo > Homo sapiens. Next base: position 198,534,794 of record NC_000002.12, read on the forward strand.
CAGAGATAGTTTGACTTCTTCTCTTCCTATTTGGATGCTTTTTTATTTCTTTCTACTGACTGATTTATCTGGCTGGAACTTTCAGTACTATGTCAAATAGGAGTGGTGAGAGTGGACATTCTTGTCTCATCCTGGTACTCAACGGGAATGCTTCCAGCTTTCGCCTGTTCAGTACGATGCTGGCTGTGGGTTTGTCATAGATGGCTCTTACTATTTTGAAGTATGTTCCTTCAATGCCTAGTTTGTTGGAAGTTTTTAACATGAAGTCATGTTGAATTTTGCTGAAAGCTTTTTCTGCATCTATTGAGATGATCATGTGGTTTTTGTAGGTGAAAAAAATCTCTGCAATAAGCAGTACAAAACACTGCTCAAAGAAATTAGAGATGACAGAAACAAATGGAAAAACATACTATGCTTATGGTTAGGAAGATGCAATATTAATGACCATGTTACACAAAGCAATTTACAGACTCAATGATTTTTAATCAAATCACCAATGATGCTCTTCACAGTATTAGAAAAAACTATTTTAAAATTCATATGGGACCAAAAAAGAGCCTGAATAGCCAAGTCAATTCTTAGCAAAAAACAAAGCTGGAGGTATCATGTTACTCAACTTCAAACTATACTACAATGCTGCAGTAACCAAAACAGCACAGTACTAGTACAAAAACAGACACAGACCAATGGAACACAATAGAGAACCCAGAAATAAAGCTGCACACCTACAACCATCTGATCTTCAACAAAGATAACAAAAACAAGCAATGGGGAAAAGATTTTCTATTTAATAAGTGGCGCTGAGATAACTGACTAGCCATATGCAGAAGTTTAAAACTGGACCCCTTCCTCGTACCATGTACAAAAATCAATTCCAGATGTATAAAAAACTTACATGTAAAACCTAAAACAATAAAAACTCTACATGATAGCCTAGGAAATACCATTCTTGATGTAGTCCCTGATGAAGATTCCATGATGAAGACACCAAAAGCAGTTGCAATAAAAACAAAAATTGACAAATGGGACCTAACTAAACTGAAGAGCTTCTGCACAGCAAAAGAAACTACCAACAGAGTAAACAGACAACCTACAGAAAAAAAGAAAATATTTGCAAACTATGCATCTAACAAAGGTCTAATATTCAGAGTCTATAAGAAACTTAAATTAACAAGCAAAAAACAACCTCATCAGAAAGCAAAGGACATGAACAGACACTTTTCAAAAGAAGACACACATGCAGCCAAAAAGCATATGAAAAAAAAGTTCATTATAACAAATTGTTAAATAAATGCATATCAAAACCTCAGTTAGATACTGTCTCATACCAGTCAGAATGGCTACTATTAAAAGGTAAAAAAAAAAACAACAACAAGATACTGGCAAGGTTGCAGAGAAAATAAAATGCTCATACGCTGCTGGTGGGAATGTAAATTAATTCATTGTGTAAAGCAGTATTGCAGTTTCTCAGATAACTTAATATTTGACCCAGCAATTTATTATTGGGTATATACCTAAAGTAATATAAATTGTTTTACCATAAAGACATATGCATGTGTATGTTCATTGCAGCACTATTCACGATAGCAAAGACGTGGAATTCAACCTAAATGCTCGATAGGCTGGACAAAGAAAATGTGGTATATATACACTATGGAATACTACACAGCCACAGAAAGAGTCACATCGTGTTCTTTGCAGCAACATGGTTGGAGCTGGAGGCCATTATCCTATGTGAATTCATGCAGGAACAGAAAACCAAATACTGTATGTTCTTACTTATAAGTAGGAGCTAACCTTGGGAACAAATGGACACCAGGAAGGAAACAACAGACACTGGGGCCCACTTGAGGGTGGAGGGTGGGAGAAGGGAGAGATCAGAAAACTACATATCAGGTATTATGCTTATCAGCTCGCTGATGAAATAATCTGTAGACCAAACCCCCTTGACACACAACTTACCTATATAACAAACCTGCACATCTATCCCTGAACCTAAAATAAAATATCAAAAAAAAAAATCTGATATGAAAGTGGTCTTGCAGAAGTTGTACTTCCTTCCTGTGAAACAATACTCACTTCACTTCTAGAGCTAAAAATGGTATGGAAAAGAGACATGCTATTCACTTATTCTGCCAGCAGAGAAGAAATATGATGTGTTGCACATTCCAATTTCACCCTTTCAAACGTGGGGTTCCATTGTCAATTTTTTTCTAATAAGATTTCTAATAGGCACATAGACTATGCACAGTATTTATAGCTTTGTACAAGTAATCAGGGATTCCTAGAATGCTATGGAACTGGTAATAATTCCTGATCCTCAAAGAAAGGATGTGCCATAGAGGAAAAGCATAAGACATTAAAGGAATTACTTTGTAGATTTAAAAGAAGCATAGCACAGAATGTTGTGACATACAGCACACATGAGTCTCTGTCCTCCTCATTCACACATATTTCACTGCCCCATGCCCTTGGTTTGATTAGAACATTATTTAGGGTAATCTAATATACCCTTCTTATATTCACCTTTCATTCATTAATGAATGAGTCAATGTGAGTTTCTGTATCTGTCCTTGAATTCAGTATTCAACTCCACTATTCTTTTGGAACTGTGTTGCTTTTCCTCCTACCCTCACCCTCTTTACACACTGGGGAACTGAGGTTCTCAGCAACAGAATGCAGTTGTAGCTCATCAAAGCAGCAGCTTTCTCACTGTCTGGATTCTAACAGGCTGAAAAATCTGAGGAGGTTTCCCTGCTCTGCTCAGAGCTTTCTTTGCACAATGATGTCTTCTGCAGAGAGAACTCAAGAAACATACTCTCCTGAACATGAAGGAGAGTGCGAAAGAGTGTGGGATTTGGAGTCACAAAGACTTGTGTTTGGATCTTAACCCTGTGATCTTGCCCACGCTATGTAATCTCTCTGAGCCTCACTCTCCCTATATATACATTAAAGCATTAATCCTACCTGATATTGGGAACATAATGGTCTGTGTGCAGATGTTCTGACTTCTCTCTGGCAGAGGCCTTCACACGAAGACACTTAGGCATTTTTTAATTTACCAACTTTTCACAAAATGAGTGTCGTGTCTACTGTCACAAATACATGACCTATGTTCTATTTTACATGGCTTAGTTTATGCTCTATTTTGTTTCAGAAAGTTTTCACTCTTCCCACTGTTGGGACATAGGGAGATTATATAAAAAATCAAAGCAAAAACCTTTCAGTATTCAGGCAATTCTACATATTTTGGAGGTAGTGAAGAGACATTGTGATCACATGAAAAGCACCAAGCACAAAGCAGGTGCCTATGAACATACTTCACCCACCAGCCTTGCCACATGGTGCTATGAGAACGTCTGATCCTAGGACATGTAGACAGTGAAGAGGAGGAGCTGCCCAGCACTGGGAAGCCAGGGGCCTACACCTAGCTCAGACATCCACTCTCCTATAATTTTAGGCAAATTATCAGAACCTTGGAACCACCTTTTTAAAGACATATGTATGATCTTTAGTATGTTCCATTATAAACAACTGTTTCTGAAGTTTAGATTTCACAGAACTGTAAGTTAGGAAAAGTATGGGAATCATATACGATTGTCATTTTTCTTTTTCTTTAAGAATAATTTTTAAATTATACTTTAAGTTCTGATTCATGTGTAGAACGTGCAAGTTTGTTATATAGGTATACACATGCCATGGTGGTTTGCTGCACCCATCAACCCGTAATCTACATTAGGTATTTCTCCTAATGCTATCCCTACTCGAGCCCCCCACCCCCTGACAGCCCCGGTGTGTGATGTTCCCCTCCCTGTGTCCATATCTTCTCATTGTTCAACTTCCACTTATGAGCGAGAACATCTGGTTTTCTGTTCTTGTGTTAGTTTGCTGAGAATGATGGTTTCCAGCTTCATCCATGTTCCTGCAAAGGACATGAATGCATCCTTTTTATAGCTGCATAGTATTCCATGGTGTATATGTGCCACATTTTCTTGATCCAGTCTATCATTGATGGGCTGGTTGGTTCCAAGTCTTTGCTATTGTGAACAGTGTTGCAATAAACATACATGTGCGTGTTTCTTTATAGTAGAATGATTTATAATCCTTTGGGTATATACCCAGTAATAGGAAAGCTCGGTCAAATAGTATTTCTGGTTCTAGATCCTTGAGGAATCATCACCGTCTTCCACAATGGTTGATCTAATTTACACTCCCACCAATAGTGTAAAAACGTCCTATTTCTCCACATCCTCTCCAGCATCTGTTGTTTCCTTTTTCATGGTCGCCATTCTAACTGGCATGAGATGGTATCTCACTGTGGTTTTGATTTCCATTTCTCTGATGACCAGTGATGATGAACTTTTTTTCATATGTTTGTTGGCCACATAAATGTCTTCTTTTCCAAAGTGTCTGTTCATATCCTTCTCCCACTTTTTGATGGGGTTGCTTTTTTCTTGTAAATTTGTTTAAGTTCTTTGTAGATTTTGGATATTAGCCCTTTGTCAGATTGATAGATTGCAAAAATTTTCTCCCATTCTGTAGGTAGCTTGTTCACTCTGATGATAGTTTCTTTTGCTGTGCAGAAGCTCTTTAGTTTAATTAGATCCCGTTAGTTAATTTTGGCTTTTGTTGCCATTGCTTTTGGTGTTTTAGTCATGAAGTCCTTGCCCATGCCTATGTCCTGAATGGGATTGCCTAGGTTTTCTTCCAGGGTTTTTATTGTTTTAGGTCTTACATTTAAGTCTTTAACCCACCTTGAGTTAATTTTTGTAGAAGGTGTAAGGAAGGGGTCCGGTTTCAGTTTTCTGCATATGGCTAGCCAGTTTTCCCAACACCATTTATTAAATAGGGCATCCTTTCCCCATTTCTTGTTTTTGTCAGGTTTGTCAAAGATCAGATGGTTGCAGACGTGTGGTGTTATTTCTGAGGCTTCTGTTCTGTTCCATGGGTCCATATATCTGTTTGGTACCAATACTATGCTGTTTTGGTTAGTGTAGCCTTTATAGTATAGTTTGAAGTCAGGTAGCGTGATGCCTCCAGCTTTGTTCTTTTTGCTTAGGATTGTCTTGGCTATACAGGCTCTTTTTTGGCCTTAGAACCATTTTTATCCTCATTTATAAGATTAATGCAATAACATTTATTCCAACCAGCTCACAGAATTATGTGTAAATATGCTTTATTTAACACACTTTATACATATGATGTTTCATCATCATAAGTCACTGGAATAGAAAAAAGAAAATTAGGTTTCCTACAACTGCACAGAAGAAATATTAAGAAACAGACCAAAATATCCGTTTAAGTTCTGAGAAAGAAAGAAAGGTGACTAAAATATAATTAACAAATTTATTATGGTTTATGGTGGTGAATATGGTTCTAAAAACCTGCAATTAAAATATGCTTTACATATTATAGAAGTTCTAATATTTGAATGTAATTTTTCTGGAGAAGGTGAGCATTCTAAGTTATACAAAAACATAATTGTATATATTTGATGACTAAACATTTTTTTTTTTTTTTTTGAGACAGAGTCTTGCTCTGTCGCCCAGGCTGGAGTGCATTGGCGCAATCATGCCTCACTGCAAGCTCCACCTCCCGGGTTCACGCCACTCTCCTGCCTCAGCCTCCCGAGTAGCTGGGGCTACAGGTGCCTGCCACCACGCCCGGCTAATTTTTTAATATTTTTTAGTAGAGATGGGGTTTCACCATGTTAGCCAGGATGGTCTCGATCTCCTCACCTTGGGATCCGCCCGCCTTGGTCTCCCAAAGTGCTGTGATTACAGATGTGAGCCAGCGCACCTGGCCGACTAAACGTATTTTTGTAAGAATCTCTGGCGTCTTAGGGAAAAGGCTCCTTTTGGATAAATTTTATTAAGGAAATAACCAAGATGGCAATTCTGGGGAGCAACTGGCTTGCCCTTGTAAGTTATCTCAGTGGGGAAGTGGCAAGGACGTTTTAGAAGATGGTTGAAGAGAGAGCAGTGATGGACAGTGTAATGGTTAATATTGAGTGTCAACTTGATTAAATTGAAGGATACAAAGTATGGTTTCTGGGTGTGTCTGTGAGGGTGTTGCCAAAGAAGATTAACATTTGAGTCAGGGGACTGGGAGAGGCAGACCCACCCTCAATCTGGGTGAGTACCATCTAATCAGCTGCCAGTGTGGCTAGGATAAAAGCAGGCAGAGGAAGGACTCTACCGGCTAAGTCTTCTGGCCTCCACCTTTCTCCCATGCTGGGTGCTTCCTGCCCTCGAACATCAGACTCCAAGATCTTCAGCTTCTGGACTCTTGGACCCACATCAGTGGTTTTCCAAGGGCTCTTGGGTCTTTGACCACAGACTGAAGGCTGCACTGTCAGCTTCCCTACTTTTGAGGTTTTGGGACTCAGACTGGCTTCCTTGCTCCTCTGCTTGCAGATGTCCTATTGTGGGACTTCACCTGTGTAAGTCAATACTCCTTAATAAACTCCCCTTCATATACACATCTATCCCATTAGTCCTGTCCCTCTAGAGAACCCTGACTAATACAGACAGAATGGCACAATTTAGTCATGCTGCCCCACAGAATTTGTGGAATAGTATGTTTAATGCAAATTAAGTCAATTTCCTCCTTTGGTTTAGTACTTCAACTTCACTTATTCCCACGCAGCCTGATATTTAGTCTCTTTTTTTTTTTTCTTTTTTTGAAACAAGGTCTTGCTCTGTTGCCCAAGCTAGAATATGATCATAACTCACCATAGCCTCAAACTCCCGGCCTCAAGTAATCCTCTCACCTCAGCCTTCCAAGTAGCTGGGACTACAGGTGTGTACCACCACACCCAGCTGATTCGTAAAAATTTTTTATAGAAATGGGGTCTCACTATGTTCTCCAGTCTTGCCTCAAAATCCTGGCCTCAAGCAATCCTCCTGCCTCAGCCTCCCAAAGTGCTGAGATTACAGGCATGAGCCACCTCACCCAGCCTGTGGATAGTCTTGAACAACCATTTAGCAAGCCTGGCTCATGGGTGTGTGACCAGTGTAGTAATACAGCACCTTTGCTCACAAGGTTTCAGTACTTGGGGTTTAATGTTCTCTGGTGGTCCTCTTGAAATTTTTAATTTTTGTCTTGGAATTTGTGTTTTGCAAGTGAAGTTTAACAGAACAACAGAGCCTGCGCTGAGTGTGGGGAACCCCGGTGCAAGTGTGGTCTAGTTCTCACTCTTCTTCCATACACCTTCCATCCCCCACCCCCAACAGAGTCTCAGCTGCCCGTGGGGCAGGAGACCCTGCCAGGTCTCCCTCCATACCTCTGCTATCCTCCAGAAGAGATGGATACAGGTCCTGTGAGGTGGGAGTAGGATGGAGGAACTCACAGTCTGCCTCCACTCTCTGCACTGAGGTGCCCTGGGCACTGGAGAGGGTGGGGTGCCTCATGGTATCCTAACTATCCATCTGGCTACTAGCTGGAAGCACCACAGTGCATTTGGCAGGACGCTTGTTGGGGGCCTGTTGCCCACCCTGAACTAGATGCCAAGGGTGTTCTAGCACAGAAGTAGTAATCCCTGAGGGGTCTCCCATCCTCTATGGGTGAGGGCAGTGACCCATGCTAAGGGGAGATTGATATCCCAGGTGGCTGTTTTACATTTGGTCCAGGTAAATTATGTAGCTGGCCCTGCTTTTCAGCAGTTTCTGAAACAAGATCTAAACTCAAAAGCAGTCAGCTTAATGACATGGTCATGCTCTCAATGAATTGCCAACTAAGTGTATAAGGACCCTAAGTGTGTAATGGCTGTTACACACTCAAGAGATGTAATCAGAAAGGTCACACGAGAATTTTTTATCTGCCCTTCCTCCTTTCTGGTAAGTGCTACTTGGTCTGAATTAAACAGTTGTTCTAACTTTGAGGGGACTCGATAGTAGGGAAGTGCAGAAGTACTTTTTCTGGTGGAAGAATCAAACCATCAGCTACAACAGTAACAAGAAAAAAATACATGAAATGCCTGAAACAATCCACTTTGTCCAGCAGTGTTTGCCCTGTTTTGGGGGTCAATAAAATGCTGAATTTAAAAGCAAGTAAAAAAGCTCTTTCTTATCCCCACATTGGGGTGAGTCGAGGTGGAAAGTGCTAGCTGAGTGTAATGTAACTTCTCATATCTCAGTTGTCTCACGTGAAAATGGGGGTGATAAAAGCCTCATGGAGTTGTGAGGGTACAAAAGGGACCAGAAGGCACTTAGCAGCATGCTCATCACATGCTAAATTCTTAATACAATGAAAATTATTGTTGAAATTGTACCACCACCATCTTCATCATCCATTTCTATTTACAGAAGAGAAAGTCATCAAGAGAAAGAAAACATATCAGCTCAAACCTTATCTACTTTTTAAGTGATACGGATTTTATGTATTCCTCCTCTATGTGCTAAGGAAATAAATAAACATAAATACTAGCAATTCAATAGAATATTGATACATACCGTAAATGGTGATAATATGGTATGTTCAGGTTATAGACAAGGAGAGAGTTTGGGGGGGATGTTCATGCCTGATCACACAGCCCCTTAATGGCAGACAGGGACTAAAAATACCAGGTTATGGATGTTGTGATCCCTCCTCTACTCAGTGTACAATGTGCATTTAGGACCTGAAGCATAAGTAAGCTGTTTTAAGTCCTTATCATGGGCCGAGCATGGTGGCTCATGCCTGTAATCCCAGCACTTTGGGAGGCCGAGGCAGGTGGATCACCTAAGCTCAGGAGTTTGGGAACAGCCTGACCAACATGGTGAAACCCTGGTATATATTAAAAAATACAAAAATTAGCCAGGCATGGTGGCGGGCGCCTGTAATCCCAGCTACTTGGGAGGTTGAGGCAGGAGAATTGCTGAACCCGGGAAGCAGAGGTTGCAGTGAACCGAGATCACAACATTGCACTCCAGCCTGGGCGACAGAGCAAGACTCCTTCTCAAAAAAGAAAAAAAAAATCTTATCGTGACTTATAGCTGTTGCATTTTTACCTTATCATAGCTTATTTTGCTACAGCTATGATTTACACAATGTGATCTTTGGTTAAGAATGCAAAATTCCTGTCATTGTACCTTTCCTCTGCAAAAACATAATTTGCTTTATGATACCTGTTTCATGACAGTTTCCAGAAATCCCGTGTAAGCAAAAGTGGGGACAGATAGCATCATCAAAATCTCTGATAAAGTAGTTATCAATTCTGCAATTGGTCGTTCTTCCTGCACACATATGATGGTATTAATATCCCTGCCTTCAGGTCTGATCCTGTGTGTAAGGGTGGCCCATACAGAACAATGTGTGGTTAATGCAACATGACTCAAATCATTTTAGCTTTCATTTGGCCAGGCCATCCATCAAGAATCTGAAATCAGCAGCCTGATTCTCATTTTGCTCCTTCCCCTTGCAGATCTCCTCTAGGTCCAGGGCTGACATTTACTTCAAAGGGAATGCTCCACATAGAGGAGGGATCCAGGAAAGGAAGAAAAATGAGAATCCGGCTCGTTATTTTAAAGATGGTTAAAATAAACAAGTCAGCAACGCATGTTTTCTTTTAGACTACTCAATTGGAATCTTTTTTGTCGAAGCACAGCAGTTCGTAAAACTTCTATTATCTGATCCCCATGTGAAGGGGATCAAATATATTTTTCATTTGAGGAAGTTGGGTAGAAGTTGGACTGAACTGAATTACACTGATTGCTATTCCCCACAATTCCCAACACACTCTTAAAATACATTTACCTATTATACCCCATAATTTTCTATAGACACTAGCTGCAGAGGAAAAAAGACTTGTACAGATACAGAAACTCAAAAAAGCAAGCCAGTCACTTGTTTTTATACAGAAACCAGCATACTGACATTTTAATGATGCTGGGCTACTGCCATAGTGTGAAATTTTGTATTCAGAACATTTAAAAAAGGAGTGGAGAAAGATAAGTAGGCACCCAATGGAATGTGTTGGATGAGCTTTTGTACAAGAGAGGTACCATGTAATGATTTGACTCCGTGGGTCACCTTTCCTCCTTACAATATAGAAGAGGCCTTTACATTTATGGGATGCACAGCTGAATGTCATGCCTTTTATGGAGGCCTCTTTGGGTCTGATTAATTAGTAATTGGGGCAAGATCTATGCACTTCAGTGACTCTTGCTGCCTTGATTGTAAATTGCAATCTGGTGCTAAATCTCAGCAGGTCACATTGCTGTTTTTGCTGTACCCCAGTGACACAACCGATTAAATCTGTGTAAACAGTATCATTATGAAAATATTTTTGTTATAGGCATGAGGAATTAACACATTTTTATTTTGGATGGAAATTAAAATTATTTGTGGGAGCTTGGTATGTTTTCATCAATTGTCAGTCATCCCAATAGAGCATGTAGTGAAGTAACTGTTTTAATTTTCACAAAGGAAGAAAAAAAGTGCTCAGAGGACTTTTAAAACTGAGAATTAAGATAATTATGTCATTCATAATAGAGATAGCAATGTTACAGGCAAGTATTATGTCACTTAATAGTTAAACAAATAAACAGAAATATGGGAATTAGCCCGCATATTCCCCTTACAATGGAGCACTTTTGATAGAGTAGCTTTGTTTTAATAGATGCCAGTACATTCACACACACACACACACACACACACACACGCACACACACATGCACACACACATTCCCAAATGCTCCCCCTGTTTATAGGCTACATGTTTCCTAAGTTAACTTTAACAGAACTTAAACTGAGTTAGTTGCCTCTGGATAGGAGTAAGAGGTGCTGATGCATAGCTACAGAATGCATTAACACAGAATGATGACTCAGGGCTCCCATAGACCAGGTGGGGTTTCAGCTGGGGGATAAAGGTGAGCCATTAGATAGCCTCGAGCAGTTTGTGTAACACTGTTTATGCTTGATTCTGAAGCAAACAAATTTGATTTCTATACTAGAGCCGCATGGCTGTCTGACCATTAGCACCTTTGAAAAAATTTCTTTTGCAGGCATGGTAAGGTTAAGCAAATGTGTAATTTGCTAGGATTGAAAGCTACATAAGTCATAATGTTTCTAGTTTTTTTCCTGAGTGACTACTACCTAATTCTAAGCAGGCACTAAAATTGTATTGGATAATCCCTAATGATGCTTGATTTCACCTCAATGTGCTGAGGCTGGTAAGTCAACCCAATCAGATGGATGCTCTCCTATTTGCTTCATTTCACAGAGCACCTATTGGAAAAGGCTTAAATAAACTTTAATCAAATATGCCTATTAGGTTACTGAGATATGAATTACTGACCATCTATTTGCTAGCAGCTAAAGCGTAGATACAAGAAAAGTGACTTTTTTCTGTGAGCTCACTAAAATCATTATCAAACTATTAAGGCAAAAAAAGAGAGAGCTAACAAGTCAGCGAATTTGCTATGTGCCAACTTCCACATTTAAACAAAGAATCGGCTGTATACATTTCAAATGACTGCCTTCATAGTATCTAGGCTGAAAACACAAGCAAACAAAAAGAACAAAACTGCCTTTGAAGAGAAGAGGAAGCATTTACTCTACCCTTTAATGCTATACAGATGTTCCACATCCTCTTGACAAGGTGGGAGGAGTTATGTATGGAAAAGACTGGCTTCAGAATATTGACCATCAGTAGAATATTCAGAATGATAGAATTGCATGCTATTATTTGGGGCACTCATGCTTGCTTGATAAGTAAGTTCCTAAAGAAAGACTTTTTGGTATAGATCAGTCTAGAAAAATATTATATTTGCTTAAGGACCTTACATTTTTATTTTTGTACACCATTCACCACTGCAATATTTGGCTTAACTGGAGACTCTGAGGATTGGTCGATTAGATCATTTTAGAAATGCATTTTGTATATCAGATATTACACTTATCTTTCCAAATACCAAAGGGCAAAGATGTTTAAAAAGATCAAAATAAAGGATAAGGAGTAGCAAAGAAAAAAGTTTATTGTTTACTTTTTCAACTATTCACCAAACTGACGCAAAGCATAAAGCCAAAAGCTAGAAAGAAGAAATTCAGGAGAACCGAAGTGTAAACTTGAGTTGTTCAAATAGGAATGAAGAGTAAGAAAATGTAAGAATAATTTATTATTGAATATAAACAAATTCAGAGCGATTACATTTTCTTATCAAGTAATTTATTGCTAATTCTGACATTCTATGTTGTACATACTATAACTTATATGATGTCAATAAAATTTAACTCATTAGAGTCTCTTGGAAATAATGTTTTAAAAAGTGTAAAAGGCAAATTTTGAGCAGCATTATGTGCAATATAATTTTTACTGGCCTATTAATAAACTCAAGTGTTATCTTGATTTAGAAAAATAAATAGGATAATCACTCCTTTCTAGTAAATACTTGCAAAGCAGTTTTTAGAATATAATATACCAAGAAGTCAGGACACACAGAAACACCCACAGTTAAATGCAGGGACTCCATACACTTGCATATCTTCTTCTCCAGAAAAACAGCCCTTGTGGCATGTAATGTGAAAAATTAATTCATCATATTTCTGTCAAAAAGTATGATTTTCTATCATAAAGGTGATGTGTGCTTATTATACAAGTATCAGAAAAGGTAATAAAGTATAAAATAATAAATCACCCATGGCTCCAACTCCTACAAACACACACTAACTTCTGTCTTCTATGCATTGCTTATGGATATGTTGGTCACTCTCTATATGAAATCTTGAGACTTCTGTGCAGAATTCTTTAGTAATGTAAGTTCCTTCATTATGGGTAAATGAACTTCTTTTGACATTCCTAGATAATCCTTTATGTTTCCTTGTTTCACAAACGACAATGTACATGGCAGAAATATGATGTTATTACAATGAAAGTTTATTAATATAAGACCTTGGAATGTAAATCTTCTAAAAAGTGTTTCACACTTACGAATGACAAAACTGTTGTTGAAACCAGAAGTCATATGTAGGAATGAGATTGCTGTAGAGGAAGTAGAGCATCCTCTTGTTTATGTCATTATGTTGCTACTTCTCTCATTATTCACACTTAAGCCCACTCCTATCCTGACTAAAGACAATTTGGTAAGGCGATAATGAGGATCTAATAAACACAAAGTAAGTTCAAAATCTCATAAAATCAATTAGCCACTTTGTATTTGTGAAAACTTTCAGAAATATGGATATTTGTATATAACAAAATCTAGAGGTGAATAACCGATCAGTGATTTGGGGCTAAGGCCAGGAAAGAGTGGAAGTGGCATGGGTATGGCTATAAAAGAGTAACATGAGAGATCCTTGCGGTGATGGAAATTTCTGTATCTTGTCTATATATATAAATAAATACTCTGGTTGTGATATTGCACTATAGTTTTGCAAGATGTTACTCTGGGTAACATTGAGGAAAAGGTGTATGAAATCTTTCTTTGTTATTTCTTACAACTTCATATGACTCTATAATTATCTCAAAATAAACAGCTTAATAAAAACATAAGTTAATTCTGTTTTTGCAGATACCCCTGACAATATAGATATATGCATATCTACATGCATATATACAGATGCCTTGCCTAAATTCTTTTAGGTCTATACCATTTTGATTTCAGACATCAATTCAGCTTTCTCTGTAGAGGTTGTTTATGTTGAATATATTTATTTTGATTTGAAATATCATTTAATTTTAATAATTATGCATTATTTTGAAAAATGTAGTGATAAGAATGGTTATTTCTGAGAGCATGTTAGAGTGCAGTGGTTAATGCATGGGCATGGGGGTCAGATTACCTGGTTTGAATCCTTTATGTACAGTGTGAATTTAGGTAAGTTATTTAATCACTCTGTGCCTCAATTTGTTCATCTCTTAAAATGAAGATAACAGCAGGTATCTCATAGTGTTATTGTAAAAATTAGACAAGTTAATATGTTAAAAAAACTTCTAATAGAGCCTGACACATAGTAAGAACTATGTACATATTAGCTGTTCTGTGACAATAATGATGAGGATACCTTATAAGCATCAGCTCATATATAACTCATGTCAATCCTAGCTGTAGTCACCATTATTAACCTTGTTATAGATGGCTAAGCAGGTTAAGTGCCTTGCCCAAGGTCACAAAACTTGTAATGTTTTAAGGGACTCTACATTAATCAATTTACTATATGTTTGTTAGTGAGAGAGTCCAAAATTTTGTTATAATAAAATAACATTATATTTTGTTAGTCACATAAACGTCTGATTTTCTATTTAAACAATAGTGATTTAGAAATGACACTATAAATTTTTTTAAAAAACAGCAGCTTTCTACCTAAATTTTTACTATTTCTTGGCTCTACTGGGCCTCGAAGGGCATCTTCTCTCTGCTATTTTGGTCACTCAGTTTTTCATCCTGGACAAACCCAAAGAGTGAAGAGGTGTATAAAAACAAAAGTGAGGAAGCAACCCGAAGTTCGTTCTCAAAGCTTCAGAAATGTTGAGGTTTTGGGTTCAGTCCAATAAAGGGTGAAGATTCAGGTCAAATCTTATTTTATATAAAATGACTACCTTTGTTTTGAAACAATCTAGTAGTTAGAATTGTGGCAGGTTCTGGTTTTAGCTAGCCTTTGAGGGAAAATGCTGAAATTAATCTTTTGAATGAAGAAGGGACTCAACGATTTACCAGAGCTACTAAAACAGGGACTTCCTGGAAAAGGATGACTGTTTATTAAACAGATTGTAATATCAAGTAAAGAGTTCTTTGGGGGTTGTGTTATATATGTGAGAGTAGGCATGTGTGTTTGTATGTTTGCCAAATATATGGGTATGCAAAAAATCATTGCCAAATTAAAAAAATTGAAATCATGTATCAAATAAGAGATAGTATATCTGGTTATTGAGAGCATGGGCTTTGGGGCCAGATTTCTTCAGTTCAGACTTTGGCTTTGCCTCTTAACCCATTTTCCATTTGCCCCAAGAAATGAGTGCTGGCAGCGAGCTGCACTTTTTTTTCCTAAACAGGACATGGGTTAGGTATGTATGACCTTGTACCTTAGCTTCCTAATCTGTGAGAATGGGAATATAAAAATAGTAGCCTTATACAGTGGTTTTGGAGAATAAATAATGAATATATGTAAAACACCTAAAAGACTGTATAGTACATAGAGAGTACTTAATACATTTTAGCTGTGCTAAGTAATTGCATAATTAAATGCTAATCATGTGCTGAGTTCTGACTTAAGCTATTTCCAGATACAAATTAAAAATAAGAAAATTTCCTGAATATAAGTAATTTCAAACTAGTTAAGACAGTTAAATATATGCAAAGAAATGGAAGGATAATTATAACGCAACACAGAAGGGGATATAAATCTAATGTATCAGTTAGAAATGCATTTGGCTGCAAGTAACAAAACAGCCCAACTATAATTCTTTCTTTCTTTATTTTTAAATAGGGATATACATTATAGAGGATGTTTGGTGCTGAAATATTGTTAGCAGTTAGAAATGCATTTGGCTGCAAGTAACAAAACAGCCCAACTATAATTCTTTCTTTATATATTTTTAAATAGGGATATACATTATAGAGGATGTTTGGTGCTGAAATGTTGTTAGTATATTGACGAGTGCCAATGTTTCTGCAGCTCTCTCAACATTTTCCTAATAGTTTCAAATCATCACATTCTCCTTTAAGTCAGAAAGAAATTAGGGAAGGCAGTGAATCTCTTTAGAAAGTTAAAGCTTTCCCCCAAATCATACTGTCTAGCAGACTTTTCCAAATGCTTTTCAAAATCCATGCAAATCCAAATACTATTCTTTTTTATCTGAGTTGCAGGGCCACACTTACCTGAATTGTAATCTGGAATAGTAGGTTCCAGGATTGCCATAATTGGTCTAACCTAATCACAATCCATTGCTTTGGGGCTAGGCATATATTTGTGATAAACAAAAGCAGAGTTCTGTCAGTAATTATGGGAAAATCACTATGGAGTAGGCAATTAAAGGCGTTTGCCATCCACAGCCTCAGCAAAAGAGAGAGTATGGGTTAGTTAGGTGAGGATGCCAGGAGGTAAAAGGATGAAAGGATGACTCTTTTAAATGAACTGCTGATTGTGGATTAGTAGAGACTTCAAAGACAAGACAGAGTAAAGAAATAGCAAAAGCAAACCAGGCAGGGAAAAGTAAGATGTATAAAGAAAGTCGGACTAGATTAGATCTCCCTAAAAAGAAGCAGCCATAAGGATTGAGAATGATAAATTTGGAGAGATGTGGAGAAGCCAGCTGATGGAGAGAACAGCTTAGTAGTTTCCTTGCTTCACCCTACCACCAAATAGACCAACCAATAAATCACCAAGACTTTGGAATTCACAAAAATTGGGAATATACATTATTTTTAAGTACTCATAGAATATTTTTAAAAATGGAAAACCTCAATAAATTCCGACATTAGTCCATGTGGTCTAACCACAATAAAATAAAACTAGAAATTATCACAATTTCTAAACAAGTATAAAATTATAATTTATAAACACAAAAATATTCTGACTTCAGTATTAAATATATATACATATATGCATATATTTATACATATATATGAAATAAAAATACATATACACATTAATGTACGTGTGTGATAACACTTGAGTTAAAAAACAATCAGATCTATAATTATAGATTATTTAGAAAATAAAAAATAATTTAGAATTCTATCTACCAAAGCACATAAGATGTAGCCAAAAACTATTCTTAGAGAAAGATTATTTACCTTAAGGGCTGTCATTATTAAGCAAGAAACCAAAGGGACAGAGTGAGATTAACTGAGCCTACCTGGAAAGCTGGAAGAAAACAGCAAACAAACAACAAAAGCAGGAAAAAGGAAAAGAAAAGGCCGGGCGCGGTGCCTTACGCTTGTAATCCCAGTACTTTGGGAGATCGAGGCGGCGGATCACGAGCTCAGGAATTTGACACCAGCCTGGCCAGTATGGTGAAACCCCATCTCTACTAAAAATACAAAAATTAGCCGGGCGTGGTGGTGCGTGCCTGTAGTCCCAGCTACTGGGAGGCTGAGGCAGACGAATCACTTGAACCCGGCAGGCGGAGGTTGCAGTGAGCCAAGCCTGCATCACTGCACTCCAGCCTAGGCGACAGAGCAAGGATCCATCTCAAAAAAAAAAAAGGAAAATAAAAATATTCCAAATTCAACCTGTAAAGTTTATATAATTACAAACAAAGAAGAAATAAAATTGATTTTAAGAGCACATCTGACAACATTTGATAAATATTAGTGAATTTAACTAGTATAAAAATATAGATGACCAAATATTATTACAAACTAGTAAAACCTGAATAGATTATTGACTATAGAAAATGCTGAAAAAATTATCAAAGAAAATTATCAAAGAAGCTTCCCCTTTAAAAGCCGCTAGGCACACAGAAGTTTTTGGATAACGTCATTCAAAAAAACCTCAAGAAACAGAAATTCTTAAGTCATCTAACATCTTGTATAGAATAAAAGAGAAAAAATTTCCCAATTATAAGAAAAGTCTGGAAATTCTGATATCAGAAATGCTGTTTTCAGAATAAAAGGATGAATAAAAGATTAAGAAAAAAGAAAGAAAAAATAAGGGAACTATGGATTAAACTCACAAATACAGTACAAATATTTTTAGTAAATGATTGGAGATAGAATTCAGCTATTCACTCAAAGATAGTTCAATATTAGGAAATTTATTAATATAAATTACTATACCTCTAGGACAGAAAGAAAAAGATGAGCATGAGCATCCCCTTCATTGCTTTAAATCTATTTGATAAGTTTGAAGAACATTTATATTTTAGTTAAAAATACTTTTACTATGCTGGAAATATATTTCCAAACACTATAAACTTTATAGCAAACCAACAATTAGCATCATGTATGTTTGTGTAACACTAGAAGAATTGCATTTAAATCAACCTAAAGTCAGGAAAAAGACAAACACACTTGCTATCTGTCATCAATTTTATATTACAATGCTAAGAAAGAGGTAGCCAGTAAAATCAATTAAAATGTTAAAAATCAGTATGAATATTGAAATGAAAAAACTAATTATTTGATGATCCACTAGAAATACCAAGAATAAAAAACAGTTGCAATAGACAACTTATATGGTATAGAATATTACTATATTACTAATATTACTATTAAATGACATATATCATCAAATATGCAAGTCTTCGTAGCTATCCTGTATGCCAGTAAGTGACTTTTAAAATCATATGAAAACAGATACCATTAACAACTACAGCAAAAATAATTAAATGTCTGATATCAAATTTATTAAGACGTATCCAAGTTTCATCCAAAAAAAATTGACTTCCTAATGGGATTTTCAAAAAATACATAGTTAAAGTGAAATACACCTTGTGCTTAGCTGTAAATGTTTAATATTACAAATACATGAAATCTTCCTGAATTCAATTACAAATTTAATTCAACTCTAATTAAAGTATGGATCAAATTTGTTTAAAAACTTGAAAATATATCTGACGTTTGTAGAATATATCTAGTAAAGGAAATTCTGGAAGAAAACATTAATTGGAGGGAATGAAGCCCCCCTGACACCATAGAGTTAATCATGTATTCCTTCCCAGTTACCTGTACCTTCCTTTTTCAGGACTTCTCATACTTTGTAGGTATAGATTTACTTGTGAGATTGTTGTCCATCTTCTTCATTAAACTGTAAGCCACATAATGGCAACAGCTCTGTCTCTTTTGCTCATAGTGTCAGCTATTATGTCTTATAAAAAGCAGACCTGCAATAAATATTTGTTGAACAGTTAATTAGAGAAATGTTTTCAAAATTAATGAATTACAGTGATAAAAGCTGTCTGATGTCACCATCATAATAGAGGGTAAACCTGTGGACCAGAACAAAAAATACAGAAGCTCACATAAATATATGCTTAAAAAATGTTAAAAAATGTTTTATTGACATCATTGTGGATAAGACAGACTATTCAGTAAATGGTATTGGGACACATGACTAATTATCAGGAAACAAACTAGTTACATTTTCACACATTATGGCAAAATAAATTCTAGGGGAATTAATTTCATAAATGTAAAAATAGATTAAAACTTCTAAGTACTGTAAAAAAAAATAGGGATAGAAGAAGCCTCTTTAAATCTTCTCCTGCCTTATATTAACACTGCTGAGAAGCATTAATTTGTATAAATACATATGCCACTAGTTCAATTACTTTCTTAATTGAATTAAGGTGGGATTGCCAGTTGAAAGGATATGCACATGGTGAGAACCTTGCAAATTTTCCTCTTCAAATCCCTTTAACAATTCACACACCTGTTGGAGGGCAAGCGCTTGCCCATTTTCCTGTGCTAGGTGCTCACACTCACATCACTGGTTTAAAGTAGTTAAACTTAGGATGTTTTCCCTCTCTTTAGACTGGTTTCTCTAAGATAGTTCTACAAATCCAATACTTACAAAAAGCCCAATTTGTAGTGAGATAAGACAATTTCTTTTCAAATGATGAATAATTAAATGGTCAACAGTATAGGACTCGTTTATCTAGTGAAGGTGTATCTATACAATCGAATGCTATGCAATCATCAAAAATGGTGTCCCTCTATATTAAGTGATATGAAATACCATTTAAAATATATTGAACTATAATGTAAGTGATTTGATTCTAAATTTAAGTAAAATATGTATTTATATGAATAAATTTGCTTGAAAAAAGGATAAGCAAATATACAGCAAAATAGTAATAAAGACTGTCTCAACAGGCTTGCAAGTGATTTTAATACTAATTTCTTTATTTTCATAATTTCCATTTTTAAATTTGTTCTTCCAATGATTATATATTACTTATGTAGTATAACATTTCCTTAACAAGGCCAAAGGAGCACATAATCTGTTCCCAACATTTTGATTTATTTATTGAGCTAAATTTATTTAAATTGTCATTACCCATACCATATGGTTTTGTTATGCCACATAATAGGCATCCAATAAATATTTATGTAATACTTCAATCAGAACCATATATATTGAGGGCCATTACTGATAAGTCACGTGTACCCTACTTTAAAAAATTTATATAGCTACAACTAAAATCTCATGTATAATGGTTAATAATATCTAAACGAATGAAAATTTATTAGTAGATTGAAGTATGTTGGGGGGAATCAATATCTGTTGAC
Source organism: Homo sapiens (assembly GCF_000001405.40). Lineage (NCBI taxonomy): Eukaryota > Metazoa > Chordata > Mammalia > Primates > Hominidae > Homo > Homo sapiens. The sequence goes on from NC_000002.12 coordinate 198,554,947, forward strand.
CACCTATTAAGTATCAATTCCTGACTATCTTCTTCAGCTGTATTTTTATAATGACAGGCAAATCATAGTAGAAAAAGGTGGAAAACAGTTTTACCAATTTTGTTAACTTTAAGCGTAAATCATATTATACTTGGACAGGAAATTTAATTATGAGATCCCTGGATGCCACAATAAAACAATGTAGTTATTGATTAAAAATTAAAAAGAAGCACACAAATATATTATTTCTTCAGGGGTGAATTTTCATACCATAAATATCCAAGAAAAAATTTTACCTGGTATCTTAGAGATAATTTAATGGGTGATGTCTCTAATAGCAGCTTTCCTGGCAATACAACATATTTTTTCAGACAGGTATGTTTTTTATTGACTCTGAATTAAAACAAAATTTAGCGAAAATATTTTAATAGAAAGCTAATTTTCCTAGGCCTTTTATCATGAGTCAGAGACTAGCACTTAGAACCCCTTGGGAAATGGATGGGTACATGATTTTGTTTCTCAAACGTATTTTTTCAACCAAATGTTGGCAGTTATTGAATGGTCTCTCAGTTTAATAATTCTGAGCTTTCTAATACCCGGGACACCAGAATTCTATGTTATTGGTTAAAATGAGACTCAAAAACTGAATGCTAGATTTTTCAGGTCCCAAGATTGACAGTCTGTTATGGCAATTAAATATTTTAATTTTTATTCTTTTTTCAGTTTTTGTAGAGACAGTCTTGCTATGTTGCCTTGACTGGTCTTGAATTCGTGGCCTCAAGTGATCCTCTTCCTCCCAAAGTGCTGGGATTATAGGCATGAGCCACCACATCCAGGCTTCACTTGCATTCTTTTCCCACAAAACAAACTGTCCCATCTCCACATGGAGGGACCATTTTTTCTCAAGGTTTTCATGTGATCAGGGACCAGTTTGAGACTAAATAGTAGAACACGTATTTTTTAATTGGGAATAGTCACACAGTGATAATCTCCAGGTATTAATAATGGCCAACATTTATTGCACAAACATGTCAGGAGCCATGCTAAGTGCTTTACATGTATTGTCTCATTTAATCCTCATATCCATCAGTGAAGATAGAATACATTTCTCTTTATTTCGCAGATTGGAAAGTAAGACAAGTGCTTGAATCACATAGTTAGCAGGGGTTGGCGCTGAGATGGAACCCAGGTTGTCTGTCGACAGCACTTAAGGCCTGACAATTCTGCTATCCCGCCTCTTATAACCATTTATCTCCAATCTCCTGCCACCACCTTAGTTCAAGTCCTCATCACCTCTTGCCAGAGTTCTGAGCCAGAGACACCCTTCATAGGTGTACTGCCAAAATTTGAAATGCAAATCAGTTTCACAAACATTATATTTAGTTAGAAGATATCATTTTTTTTATTTTTGGGTCCACAGAATGTTCTTTCAAATTTATCAGAGTTTCACATTTAAAAATGTCATGGTTTTTATGTTTTTGTTTAACTATAAGGAAAAGGCCAGAAAGAAGAAAATTAACATTTATTGAGCCCTTAATATGTGCCAGGCAATAGTGCTTTGATTATGAATCAAATTTGATTATGAATCCTCAAAACATCCCTACTAAGGAAGATTGAGACTGATACCTATTGATTGTCTCTTCTGGGACTCAGGCTTTGTGCATACGCTAATTTATTCAGGGAAGCAGTATGGCATATCAACCAAGAACCCGTTAGAGTTTAGGCTGTGAGGTCAGTGAAAGATGGCATTGGTTACTGTTCCCAGCTTTCCGAGACTGAGGAAATAAAACATTAGAGATCCTCAGGTTTCAGCCCCACTGATTTTAAAATTTATCGGTTGTTTCTGAATATTCACTGTAATGAGTCCAAGCAATGGCCAAAGTAGTGAAATACAATTAAAATACATTTTAATTGTTGAGTCAAAACTGGATACTTTTCCCCCTTACTTTGCCCATGTTTTGTCAAAATTGGGTTTGCTTGTCTTTGGAGCCCTGCTGTCCTTCCTCCTCTTCTTTCACATTCTCTATAGCACTTACGCATTGGTAAGCACAGAGTGGTGCCTGATGAGGATCTGAGGTTTGCTTCAGGAAGTTTTTAAATAATCTTTGGGTTTCAGAATTCACAGAACAATCCAGAGTCAATAATTCTAACTTCCAACCAGATCTCATTATTACAACAGTGACTTTGTTGTCCATAAACAGCTGCTTATTTATTCTTGCCATGAGCTCTTCCTCTGAAATTGCCAATTTGAGGCAACAAGGTTAAGGATGGGTGAAGGGAATATAGTAAACACAAATGTCTGATGCAGGCATTTCAGAGAATGTCAGTCATTAATTTAAATATTATTAATTTGGGATCCATTTTGGTACTAGCCCTGGAAAGCGGCTATCAATTTATCCCAGGATTAAATTTTAAGCATGTTGTTTTATTTTCACTGGTTTCTACTGAGTAAGACATGTGCAACTGGGAAAGAAATGAATCCCCTATGGCTTGTTCAAGTGTATTTTTCTCTTGGTGACACTCATCTCCAATATCATATTTAAAAATATTAGGAGAAAGTTCTAAGCAGAAAGTCTCCAACTATGGAAACTTCAACCTTTTGCTGAATTACAGGATGACATTCAATGTCATTTCACTGTCCTATATTTTCATGGAGCTTCTTGAAAGTGGTCTCTCTGACTCATGTAGAATCTAAAATTGATCTCACAGAAGTAGAGAGTAGAATGGTGGTTAACAGGGGCTGATAGGAGAGGAGGCTGGGAAGGTGTTGGTCAAAGGATACATATTTACAGTTAGACAGGAGGAATAAGTTCAAGAGATGTATTGTATAGAATGGTGACTTTAGTTAATGACAACATATTGTATTCTTGAAAAATGCTAGGAGAGTGGGATGTTAAGTGTTCTCACCAGAAAAAATGATAGCTATGAGAGTTCATGCATTTGTTAATTAGCTCAATTTAACCATTTCACAAATACATGTCTACTTCAAAACATCGTGTTGTACATAATAAATACATACAGTTTTATATGTCCATTAAAAAATAAATAACTTTTTAAAAAGTTCTCTCTCTCTCTCCACACTCGTACACGGGGAGTGTATTTTTCTTTTGGTGCTGTGACATTTTTTCCACTACATAGGATGCTCGTGGCTCCACATAAGGCTACTGCCAGGCAATACAGAATGAGGGCCAGGAATTGGTTGAAAGTGAGGGGCCATGGGGTGATGGATGTCAGACTAATTATTGATCAATTTACTGTGTCTATTTAGTAAGTCAGTCAGTCTCCAGATACTTTTGTAGTCTTTAAGGACGACAAATGTTCACAGTTTAAATATCCCTAAATATATAACAGATGAACAAGCATGCTTTGGTGTGTAAATGCTGCATAGATTCAGAACCATCAAAAAGCCCCTCAAAAATGCTTTTCCATCTGCTGCTTCTAACTACATATCGCACATCCTGGCAGTGCACTTCACAGTGGTGTGAAAGATAGGTTCAAAGCCAACCTGGCAAAATCTATTTATCTTTTTTTTTTCTCCCCAAAATGTGTTTCTTTGTGCAGCTAAACTAGCAAACATATATAGGAACAAGGTGCCAGGGCTAAGAGGAGGCACTTGTCAGGCCTTAATCATTCAGGAGAAAACCTGCTTTGTATTACGCTCTGAAATACTGACATCAATTTGCATCTTCTTAGAAAGTATGAGTTGGAGAAGCCTTGGATTCTGTGTTCTCAGTAAAACTTAACTTACCTTTGAGTAATGTCTCAGTGTCCAGGAGAACCTTGTAAGTTACCCAAACAACCCCATAGATGGAGTGGCCAGAAGAGCCTCCCGCAGAAAGTATGCGATAGCTTTCCTGTTTAGTTTTTAAAGAAGTAATTATGTGCAAATCAGAAAGTGGATTCATGAGAGGAATGCTCTGTTTTTATGCAATACAGCTCTCAAGTATAATCTGTCAGAAGTGGAGACTTTTATAAGTAGAGTGACAGTTCATATTAACGTAGTGGTGGAAGTTAGTGGCCTACTAATAAAGCCTTCTTATTTGAAATGGTACAAGTTAATTTGTTTAGATAGTGAATATTCTTTTTTTATGGGGTAAAAACTATCCAGAAAGGTAATATTTAAAACTACCTTTCAAATTATGATATATTGTCAGGTATGTTAATACATCATATAGATGACCTATTTCTCTTTCCTGACACATTTTACTGATGCTCTACTCTAGTAGAGTGTAGGAGTATTAATAGAGGGTATTAGAATCTAATCCTAGTCATAGTTTTCATAAGGGGATGAGGGTGCATACAGATGTTCTAATGCTTATTATTACAAGGGTGGTTTTCAAATTTAATTTTAGCCATAGTATCACGTATTTAAACAATAGTTGTTTGCAAATATTACTATATATACAAATTGTGGGGGTTGAGGGGAGCTGCCATAAGAAAAGTGAGGGATGGCAGAGTCCTAGCCACAGTGTCCCTAGTGACTACACTCCCAGCTGCAGAAGCTCCTCTCAGAATTTCAGGAAGAATGACTGGAAAAGAATTGCAAGCTAAAACACTTATAGGAGCCAGCTAAGTAAGTGAGGGAAGACCACTTGGTATTTTACATGGAATATACGGACATGATTTTCATTTTCATAAAGAAATATCCAGGCTCATAGAAAAAAATATATATACTATCTATAGACTATATAGAATACCAGGTCTCATAGAAAACACAGGCCTCCAACTGTATTTTTCATTTGATAATTTTTTTGTGGTGACATGGCAGCAGAGACAACAGTGTAAATGTGACTTTTAAAGGCAACCTACAGCCTCAGTTTAGGGGAGGCATCAGGAAATGTTGGGAATTGTGGCAAATTGAGCATAAACCCCACCTAATGGGGGCAGCTACTTTTTGTCTCCAGCCAAGTGTCGACCTGTGAGAATGTGAGCACAGCGCTAGCTGCTAGAGCCATCTGAAAGTTTAAAAGGAGTTTTCAATCTAGGCTTTTTTTTTCTATGAAATTTTCTGATTTTTAAAAATTGGTTCAATATTTTTAAATATTTTGCTAGCTGAATCAAATTATTTGTCAAATTTTGCCCAATCTCTAGGCTACTAGTTTATGAACATGCTTTGAAAGAATCTATATTTGCCAGAGCATAAGAAAGCCACCTAGACCACCCTATATTTAGTTTATTTGAGTTGAAGTTTTTACTGTAAGCTATAGATAATTTTGGGTAATAGTTTTGAACTATAAACCATGTAATGTAAGCCATATAAAAAAAAAGAAACCAAGGTTGGCAAATTTAGAAAGATGAGTTCAATACCTGGGCCTGTCACTTAGGCCTGAAGCAGCAGTTCAGACAGGTTAAGCTGCTCTCAAAGATTCCCTTTGAGAAATACAAAGCACCATTAGAGACCATTATGAACAACAACAGGCCAACAAATGGGGAAACCTAGAGGGAATGGATAAATTCCTGGACAAATACAACCTAAAAATAAATAGCCAACCTCAAGGGACCAATAATAAATAAAAAGATTAAATCAGCAATAAAAACTCTCCCAACAAAGAAAAGCTTAGCACTGGGTGGCTTTACTGCTAAATTCTATCAAAATCTTAAAGAAGAACTAACACCAATTCTCAAACTATTCCAAAAAATTGAAGAGGAGGGAATCCTTCCTAATTTGTTCTATGAGGCCAGCATTATCTTGATATTAAAATCAGAGAAGCACACAATGAAATAAAACTACATGCCAATATCCCTGATGAACATAGATGCAAAAATCCTCAACAAAATACTAACAAAGCAAATCCAACGGCACATGAAAAAGATAAATACATAATGATCAAGTGGATTTATTCCAGGAATGCAAGGATAGTTCAACACATGAAAATCAATGAATGTAGTACATCACATGAACAGAACAAATGACAAAATAGATCATCTCAAGACACAGAAAAAGCATTTGATAAAATTCAACATCCTTTCATGATAAAACTCCCAAGATATTAGATATAGAAGAAACACCTCAACACAATAAAGGCAATATATAACAGCTAACATCATAGAAAGAATTTCCTGTAAGAACTGGAAGAAGACAGAATGCCCACTTTCACCACTTTTACTCAACATAGTACTGGAAATCCTAGTCAGAACAATTAGGCAAGGGAAAGAAATAAAGGGCAATCAAGTTGGAAAGGAGAAACCCAAATTGTCTCTCTATGAAGATGACAGGATCTTGTATATTGAAAAATCTAGACTCTACCTAAAAACTCTTAGAATTTATAAACAAATTCAGTAAAGTTGCAGGATATAAAATCAACATACAAAAAATCAGTAATGAGTCTATACATTAATAAATGGGCTGGAAAAAGATCAACAAAGCAATCCCATTTACAATGACTACAAAATACTTAGAAATAAATTTAACCAAGGAGTTGTAAGATCTCTACAGTGAAAACTATAAAACAGTGATGAAATAAATTGAAGAGGACACAACAAAATGGAAAGATATTCCATGCTCATGAATTGGAAGAATTAGTTATGTTAAAGGTGACATATTACCTGAAGCAATCTACAGATTCAATGCAATCCTTATCAAAATACCAGACACTCTTGACAGAAATAGAAAAAATCCTAAAATTTCTATGGAAACACAGAAGTACCTGAATAGCCAAAGCAATACTGAGCAAAAATAATAAACTAGAGGCATCACACTACCTGACTTCAAAATATACTGTAAAGCTATAGTAACAAAAACAGCATGGTATCTGTATAAAAACAGACATATATACCAATGGAATAGAATAGAGAACCCAGAAATAAATCCACATAAAAGCATACCTCATTTCATTGAGCTTTGCTTTACTGCATTTTGCAGATATTGCATTTTTTAAAAGATGGAATATTTGTGGTAACTCTGTATTGAGCAAGTCTATTGATGCCAATTTTTCAAAAGCATGTCCTCACTTTGTGTTTCTGTGACACTTCGGTATTTCTGTCAAGATTTCAAACTTTTTCATTATTATATCTGTTGTGGTGATCTGTGATCATTGATGTTACTATTGTAATTGTTTCAGAGTGCCAAAAACTGCACTCATATAAGATGGTGAGCTTAACTGATAAATGTGTATTTTGACTACTCCACCAACCAGCCATTTCCCCATCTCTCTCACTGTTCTTGGGCCTCCCTATTCCCTGAGACACAAGAATACTGAAATGTAGCCAATTAATAACCCTGTAATTTCCTCTAAGTGTTCATGTGAAAGAAAGAATCACACAGGTATCACTTTATTTATTTATTGTTTTTTGACTCTTATTTTAGATTCAAGAGTACATGTACAACAAGAGTACATATACAAGAGTACAACACGGGTTTGGTGTCCAGATGATTTTGTCATCCAGGTGATAAGCATAGTACTCCATAGGTAGTTTTTTGATCCTCACCCATCTTCCCCTCTCCATCCTCAAGTAGCCCCCAGTGTCTATTGTTTCCTTCTTTGTGTCCCACTTATAAGTGAGACGTGGTATTTTATTAGCTCCTACTTATAAGTGAGAACATATGATATTTTCTGTTCCTGCATTAGTTCATCTAGCATAATAGCCTCCAGCTCCATCCATGTTGCTGTGAAGTATATAATCTCATCTTTATGGCTGCATAGTATTCCATGGTGTATATGTACCACGTTTTCTTTATCCAGTCTACTGTTGATTAGCATTTAGGTTGATTCCATGCCTTTGCTATTGTGAATAGTGCTACCATGAATATACACATGGATATGTCTTTATGGTAGAATGATTTATATTCCTTCGGGTATAATCCCAATAATGGGATTACTGGGTTGAATGGTAGTTCTATTTTAAGTTCCTTGAGACATCACCAAACTTCTTTCCACAGTGGCTGAACTTGTTTACATTCCCACCAGCAGCATATAAGCATTCCCTTTTTTTTCCTACAGCCTCACCAGCATCTGTTATTTTTTGACTTTTTGATAGTAGCCATTCTGACTGGCAAGAAACAGTATCTTAGTGTGATTTTGACTTGCATTTCTGTAATGATGAGTAATGTTGAGCATTTTTTATATGCTTGTTGGCTACATGTATGTCTTCTGAAAATTGTCTGTGTCCTTTGCCCACTTTCTAATGGGGTTGCTTGTTTTTTGCTTGATATTTTATTTAAGTTTCTTATAGATTCTGGATATTAGATCTTTGTTGGATGGATAGTTTGCAAATATTTATCCTATTCTGTAGAAATAAACTCTCTTGATCATTTATTTTGCTGTGTAGTAGCTCTTCAGTTTAATTAGGTCCCATTTGTCCGTTTTTGTTTTTGGTGCAATTGCTTTTGGTGTCTTCATCATGAAATCTTTGCCAAAGTCTATGTCCAGAATGGTATTTCCTAAGTTTTCTTCTAGGGTTTTATATAAAACTATAAAGTTTTAGGTTTTACATTTAAGTCTTTAATCCATCTTGAGTTAATTTTGAAAGGAAGGGGTAGAGTTTTAATCTTGTGCATGTGGCTAGCCAGTTATCTTGACACCATTTACTGAATAGGCATGATTTCCCCATTTCTTGTTTTGGTTGAATTTGCCAAAGATCAGATAGCTGTAGGTGTGTGGCTTTATTTCTGGGCTCCCTATTGTGTTCCATTGTCCTGGGTATCTGTTTCTGTATCAGCACCATGCTGTTTTGGTTATTGTAGCCTTGTGGTATAGTTTGAAGTAGGGCAATGTGATGCCTCCAGCTTTGTTCTTTTCGCTTAGAATTGCTTTGGCAATTTGGGCTCTTTTTTGGTTCCAAATGAATTTTAGGATAGTTTCTTCTAATTCTGTGCATAATGTCATTGACAGTTTGATAGGAATAGCATTGAAATCTGTAAATTGCTTTGGGTAGTGTGGCCATTTTAACAATATTGATTCTTGATATCCATATGCATGGAATGTTTTTCCATATGTTTGTGTCATCTTTAAGTTCTTTCAGCAGTGTTCTGTAATTCTCATTGTAGACATCTTTGTCTCCCTGGTTAGCATTATTCCTGGGTATTTTATTCTTTTTGTGTCTATTGTGAATGGGATTGTGTTTTTGATTTGGCTCTCAGCTTGGACATTGCTGGTGTATAGAAATGCTACTAATTTTCATACATTGATTTAGTATCATGAAACTTTGCTGAAACCAGTTGTTAGTCACATCTAGGAGGTTTTGGGCAGAGACTATGAGGTTTTCTAGGTGTAAAATTATATTTTCTGCAAACAGATAATTTGATTTCTTCCTTTCTATTTGGGTGCCTTTTATTTCTTTCTACTGACTGACTGTTCTGTTGTTTGTGTCCTTTGCCCACTTTCTAATGGGGTTGCTTGTTTTTGCTTGATATTTTATTTAAGTTTCTTATAGATTAAGAACATTGTACTATGTTGAATAGGAGTGGTGTGAGTAGACATCCTTGTCTTGTTCCTGTTCTCAAGTAAAATGCTTCCAGCTTTTGCCTGTTCAGTATGAAGTTGGCTGTGGGTTTGTCATAGATGGCTCTTATTATTTTGAGGTATGTTCCATCAATGCCTAGTTTGTTAAAGGTTTTTAACATGAAGGGATGTTGAATTTTGTTGAAAGCTTTTCTGTATCTATTGAGATGATCACATAATTTTTTTTGTCGTTGTTTGTGTGATGAATCACATTTATTGATTTATGTACATTAAACCAACCTCGCATCCCAGGGATAAAGCCTGTGCTTGATCATGGTGGATTAGCTTTTTGATGTGTTGCTGGATTTGGTTTGCTAGTAGTTTATTGAGGATTTTTGCATCTATGTTCATGAAGGATATTGGTCTGAAGTTTTCTTTTCTTTGCTTTGCTTTCTTTTCTTTTTCTTTCTTTTTTTTTTTTGTGTGTGTGTCTCTGCCAGGTTTTGGTATCAGGATGTGATGGTTAAAATTAGATGTCAACTTGATTGGATTGACGGATGCCTAGATGGATGATAAAGGATGTTTCTGGATGTGTTTGTGAGTGTGTTGCCAGAGGAGACTGACATTTGAGTCAGTGGACTGGGAGAGGAAGATTCACTCTCAATGTAGGCGGGTACTATCCAATTGCTGCCAGTGCAGTGAGAACAAAGCAGGCTGAAGAAGATGGGAGAAGGTGGGATACATTTGCTTGCTGAATCTTCTGGCTTTTTTTTCTTCTCAAGTGGGATACTTGCTTCTGCTCCTCTTGCCCTTGGATATCAGACTTTGGTCTCTGGGACTTACATAAGTGGATTCCCAGGAGCTCTGTGGCTTTGGTAGCAGACTGAAGGCTGCACTATCAGCTTCCCTGGTTTTGAGGCTTTCAGACTTGGACTGAGTCACTGGCAGCTTGAACCCTGTACCTGGAAAAGTCACAAGCACTCAATAACCTGTGATTGCAGTCTCAGGGGCTGACCCTTGCAAAGCCACAAGGGCAGAGCTGTCCAAGGCCTTGGGAGCCCATCCCCTGCACTAGTGTGCCTTGGCTGTGGGATGTGGAATCAAAAGAGATTATTTTGGAGCTTTAAGGCATAATGACTGTCCTGCTGGGTTTCAAACTTGCATGGGGCCTGTATCCCCTTTCTTTCGGCTGATCCATCCCTTTTGAAATGAGAATGTTTACCCAATGCTTGTACCCTCATTATATCTTGGAAGTAAATAACTTGTTTTGATTTTACAGGCTGATAGGTGGAAGGAGATGAGTCTCAGATGAGACTTTGGACTTGAACTTGGGACTTTTGAGTGATTGCTGGAATTTGACTTTGAGAGACTGTTGGGAAGGCATGCTTGTATTATGAAGTGTGAGAAAGATGTGAGATTTGTGAGGGGCCAGGGTTGGAATCATAGTTTGAATATTTGTCCCCGCCCAAATCTCACATTGAATTGTAATCCTCAGTATCAAAGATGGGGCCCAGTGGGAGGTGATTGGATCTTGGAGGTGGTTTCTCATGAATGGTTTAGCACCATCACCTTGGTGCTATCCTCACAATTGTGAGTGAGTGTTCAAGGAATGTGTCTGTTTAAAAGTGTGTGGGATGCCTGCTCGTGCTCCCATTATTGCCATGTGTCTGCTCCCTCTTTGCCTTCTGCCATGATTGAAAGCTTCCGGAGGCCTCCCCAGAAACAGATGCTGCTAGGCTTTCTGTACAGTTTGCAGAACCATGAGCCAATTCAACCTCTTCTTATAAACTACCTACTATCAGGATTTCTTAATAGCAGTGCAAGAATGGCCTAACACATGGGATAATGCCTGCCTCACAGAATGTTAGGGATGAATCCCTCCTCCTTAATTTTTTCAAATAGTTTCAGTAAGAATGGTACCAGCTCTTTTTATATGTCTGGTAGAATTCAGCTGTGAATCTTTCTGGTCCAGGGCTTTTCCTGGTTGGTAGGCTTTTATTGTTGATTCAATTTCAGAATATTTTATTGGTCTGTTCAAGGTTTCAATTTCTTCCCGGTTCAATCTTGGGAGATTGTATGTTTCCAGGAATTTATCCATTTCTTTTAGGTTTTCTAGTTTGTGTGCATAGAGGTGTTTGTAATCTCTCACTTTAAGTCAAAAGCTAGAAACAATTAAGCTTAGTGAGGAAGGCTTGTTGAAAGCTGAGATAGGCCAAAAACTAGGCCGTTTGTGCCAAACAGTTAAGCAAGTTGTGAATGCAAAGGAAAAGTTCTTGAAAGAAATTAAAAATGCTACTCTAGCGAACACACAAATGATAAGAAAGCCAAACAATCTTATTGCTGATATGGAGAAAGTTTTAGCAGTCTGGATAGAAGATCAAACCAGCCACAACATTCCCTTAAGCCAAAGCCTAATCCAGAGCAAGGTCCTAACTGTCTTCAATTCTGTGAAGGCTGAGAGAGATAAGGAAGATGCAGAATAAATGATTAAAGCTAGTAGAAGTTAGTGCATGATGTTTAAGGAAAAAAGCCATATTCATGACATAAAAGTGCAAGGTGAAGTAGCAAGTGCTGGCGTAAAAGCCACAGCAAGTTATCCAAATCTAGCTAAGATAACTGATGAGGGGGGTGCTACACTGATTGATAGATTTTTCAAGGTGGATGAAACAGCCTTCTATTGGAAAAAAAGATGCCTTCTAGGACTTTCATAGCTAGAGGAGAAGTCAATATCTGGCTTCAATGCTTCAAAAGATAGGTTGACTATCTTGTTAGGGGCTAATGTAGCTGGTGACTTTAAGTGGAGGTCAATGCTCATTTACCATTTCTCAAATCATAGTATCCTTAAGAATTATGCTAAATCTACTCTGTCTGTGCTCTATAAATGAAAGAAAATAGCCTGTATAACAACACATCATTTATAGCATGGTTTACTGAATATTTTAAGCACACTTTTGAAAAGCACTGCTCAGAAAAAAAGATTCCTTTTAAAATACTACTGCTCATCAACAATGTAGCTTGTCACTTAAGAGCTCTGAGGAAGACGTACAAGAAGATTAATGTTTTTGTGCCTACTAAACACAATATCCATTCTGTATCCAATGGATCCAGGAATAATTTCACCTTTCGAATCTTATTATTTAAAAAAAAAATCTTGTAAGACTACAGCTGCCATAGATAATGATTCCTCTGACAGATCTGAATGAAGTAAATTGAAAACCCCTGGAAAGGAGTCACCATTCTAGATGCCCTTAAACACATTCATGGTTCATGGGAGGAGGTCAAAATATCAACATTAATAGGAATCTGGAAGAAGTTGATTCCAATCCTAATGGATGACTTTGAGTGGTTCAAGACTTCAGTGGAGGAAGTAACTAGAAGTGTTGGGAATCATGAGAAAACCAGAATTAGAAAAATGTGTTCAATCTCATGATAAAACTTGAATGTATGAGGAGTTGCCTCTTATGAAGAGGCAAAGAAAGTGGTTTCTTAAGATGAAATCTACTCCTGGTAAAGCTGCTGTGACCATTGTTGAAATGACAATAAAGAATTTATAATATTTTATAAATTTAGTTGATAAAGCAGTGGCAGAGTTTGATAGGATTGACTCCAATGTTGAAAGATGTTCTACTGTGGGTAAAATGATATCAAACAGCATCACGTACTACAGAGAAATCTTTCATGAAAGGAAGAGTCCATCAACGTGGCAAATGTCATTGTCTCATTTTGAGAAATTGCCACAGCCACCCCAGCCTTCAGCAACCACCACCCTGCTCAGTCAGCAGCCATCAACATCAAGGCAAGACCCTCCACCAGCAAAAAGATTATAAAACTTGCTGATGGTTCAGATGACTGTTAACATTTTTTAGCAATAAAGTTTATTTATTTATTTATTTATTTATTTATTTTTATTGAGACAGAGTCTTTCTCTGAAGTGCAGTGGCATAATCCTGGCTCACTGCAACCTCCAACTCCCAGGTTCAAGCAATTCTCATGCCTCAGTCTCCTGAGTAGCTGGGATTACAGGCACCTGTCACCACGCAAAACTCATTTTTTTTGTATTTTTAGTAGAGTCAGGGTTTCATCCTATTGGCCAGGCTGGTCTTGAACTCCTGGCCTCAAGTGATCCGACCACCTGGGGCTCTGAAAGTACTGGGATTACAGGCATGAGCCACCATATTTGGCCAATAAGGTATTTTTAAATTAAGGTATATATATTATTTTTTAGACATAATGCTATTTCACACTTATTAGACTACAGTATTGTGTAAACATAACTTTTATATGCACTGGGAAACCAAAATTTTTGTGTGACTCACTTTATTGCGATATTTGCTTTATTGCAATAGTCTGGAACTGAACCCACATCTCTGAGGTTTGTTCTTATTTACAGCCAACTGATTTTTGATAAAGGCACCAAAAACATACATTGGGGAATGGGCACCCTCTTCAATAAAGTATGCTGGGAAAACTAAATATCCATATGCAGAAGAATGAAATTAGACCCTTACTCTTCACCGTATAAACTCAACAATGAATTAAAGATTTAAATGTAAGACCCAAAACTATAAAACTACTAGAAGAAAACATAGGAAAAGTACTTCAGAAGTTTGGTCTAGGCAAAGATTTTATGAGTAAGACTTCAAAAACAGGCAACAAAAACAAAAGTAGACAAATGAGACTCGATAAAACTAAAAAGCTTCTGCACAGCAAAGTAAACAATCAACAGAGTGAAGACACTACCTGTAGAATGGGAGAGAATATTTGCAAGCTATACATGCAATGAGGGACTAAGATCCGAAATATACAACCAACTCAACTCAACAGCAAAAATAATGATGTATAATCCCATTAAATATGGGCAAAATATCTCAATAGACATTTCCCCAAAAAGACAGAAATAGCCAGAAATGGCCAAGTATATGAGCAAATGCTCAGCATCACTAATCATCAGGGAAATGCAAATCAAAGCCACAATGATGTATGATCCCACCTAACTTAGAATGGCTATTATCAAAAAGAAAAAATAACAAGTGCTAGTGAGAAAGTGGAGAAAAGGAACTCATATACTGTTGCTGGCAATGTAAATTGGCATAGCCATTATGGAAAACAGTATAGAGGTTTTTCACTAAAAATAGAATGATCATGTGATCCAGCAATCTCATTACTGATTATCTAAAGGAAAAGTCAGTATATTGAAGAGATATCTGCACCCATGTTTATTGTAGCACTATTCATGTTAGCCAAGATATGAATTAAACTAAATGTTTATTAACAGATTAATGACTAAAGAAAATATGGTATATATTCACAATGGAATACTATTCAGCCATAAAAAAGATAAAATCCTGTCATTTGTGGCAACGTGATTGAGCCTAAAGAAGCAGTCCCCAACCTTTTTGGCACCAGGGAATGGTTTTGTGGAAGACAGTTTTTCCAGTGGGGTTTGTGAATGAGTGGGGGACAGTTTTGAGATGAAACTGTCCCACCTCAGATCATCGGGTATTAGATTCTCACAAGGAGTGCACAGTTTAGATCTCTTGCATGCACAGATCACAATAGGGTGCACACTCCTATGAGAATCTGAGGCCACCGCTGATCTGACAGGAGGTGGAGCTCAGGAGGTAACGCTCCTTTGCTTGCCGCTCACCTCCTGCTTGGCAGCCTGGTTCCTAAAAGGCCAGGGAGGCTACCAGTCCAAGGCCCAGGGGTGGCCCAGGGGTTGGGGACCCCTGTGCCTAGAGAACATTATGTTAAATGAAATAAGTCAGGCACAGAATGGTAAATACTGCATGTTCTCACGCATATGTCAGCGCTAAAAATGTCGAGGTCAAAGAAGTAGAGAGTAGAATTGTGGTTATTACAGGCTGGGAAGTGTAGTGAGGAGGAAAGGATACGAAGAGGTTTGTTAATGGATAGAAAAAATTATAGGGGAGAAAAGGATTAAGTTCTGGTGTACAATAGCACTAATGGGTGAATATAGTTAATAATAATTTATTGTATACTTTCAAAAGGTTGAAGGGAGGATTTTGAATGTTCCCAACACAAAGAAATGATAAATGTTTGAGATGACAGATATACTAATTACTCTAATTTGATCGTTACACATTGTATACATGTAACAAAATATCATTCTGTACCCCATAAATATGTACAATTATCGTGTGTCAACTAAAATGAAAATGAAAGAAAGATTTCCTGTGACAACAGGAAATTTAATATCTTTTTTATTTTGGAAAGAACACTGATTGGGTAAACGTGAGCCTGAATCCTAGACCTTCTATGTGAACTTGAGCAAATTATTTAAGATTTCTTTGCCTTATTCTCCTAAACTGTAATCATAATGATACTAATATCCTTATAATGACTGAATAAAGATTAAAATAGGTAACAAATGTTAATACTTGACATTTAATAAACACCCAATAAAGGGTAGATACATAATTATTACAGATATCTTTATATGCATTGCTTTCTCACAATCTAACACGTTTGCACAGTCTTGTAAGGATGATTAAATTACATGATCTATATATGTTGAAATACAATGCCTACTAAACACTCAATTAATTTTGGTTATTATTATTATAATGTGTTATGAGAGTTACATGTTACCCAGTGGCGTGCAATAAATAGTTCCATACAAAGGCTGACATTATAGCTCTGGTCAGTGGACTCACAGTTCTGATGAAGCTTTACAATGCTCAGTGTCCATATTCTTAAGGTTTGGAGAGCTAGCCATCATGCAATTTTTCTAAAATCAGAGCTGATTTGATTATTTGCTTGTTTTTGTTTTTTGTTCAGTATAGTTTTCAGGGTACCTTGCTCAGCAAGGATGAATTTGCTAAAAGATTTTAGGAGGCTCCTATTTCACAGGAATATTCCCTGTATTAAGAGCTATTTTAGAAACATTCAAAATACTCCACAAACAAACAATGGAAAACAATCCTTTTAGAAGTTTCCACCACAGAATGACCAGATCTGTTATTTTGTCACTCATTTTACAACCACTACAAGACGTACTGAAAAGGTTCTTTTCCATTCTGTCTAGACACCTTTTCCTAGACAACATCCTGAAACATAAGAATAAGCACAAAAATGAACATATTACATCAAACGTACCACTGAGAAGAATGGTAAGTTTAACAGTTTCCCACGTGGGAGGCATATTGACGGTAATTATCTCTCCTCCTACTTCACTCAGCTTTATGAACTCCTCTGTCGTGGCTGGGAGGGTCTGGTCATGCCTCACCACATACTTGAAGCATGTTTTAATTGGCTGGAGGAATAGTGCAACTTGCAGGCAGAGGGAGTTAAAGGAAATTGGTGTTTTCTTGGGTGGGTAGGCTCTATGCTGTTCATTACTAGTACTCATGGGAAATTTATTCTCACAAGGTCCAAGTGAGTTATCAGCATGTTTCAAATAATGTTATCAATTAGCAAGATGTTTTCAATAGTATGAAGCTTTTTCAAGGACATGTAACTACCCATGGGAAGTTATTTATTTCTTATGACAGGATTTTTTTTGTTGTTGTTTTTATTTCTGCATACAGATTACAATTTTAAGTTAGCAGAACACCAGCTCACATGGAAACAGTCTCCTCCGTGAATTCTTTCTTTGGCTGACAGACATGAGATGTTAGCTGTCTAAGAAGACCTTCACACCAACACCTTCTTAGAAGATATTGTAAGATAACAATCCTTGAGTGGAACCTGAATTCTTTCTAAACACTGCATGTAGGAAAACAAGAGGCAGTTCACACAATCACTTAACACCTCTTCTTAAAAGTGAATCCTTGAAGGAGTGGTGTTCAAATATTTAAGTACATTAGATACTTTATACACGCCACATCCAAAATGCTCAGTATTCCTAATACATTTCATTTTCTCCCAAGTTTTAATGGTTGATGCACAATCACATTAATTTCCTATTAATTTCTAGGAATATGTACACAGTAGCCTTAGGAGAAAGAAGATAACTATTACTTTACATTTTTAACTGTTTTGTTTTCATGTCCATGAGAGAAAAATTAAAGTAAGTTAAAAAATTAACTCAGACACTCTATTTATTTTTAGGAAGACATACACCCCCCACAGGGAGACTTTTACATGTTGTAATAATGTTCACAAACAGCTACTCTTTAAGTGTAACACTATTCTAAGCCTCTTTTCCTCCATTTTATTTCATATACATTTATGCATCTGCATGCATATATAACCACATGTATTTATATTTAGTAGGTATAGTTTATTACACATAAATCTAAATATCTATCATATACAGTAAATTAGAACCTAGCATGATACTAGCCATATATTAGAGATTCAATGAAAATGGTGGCTGTTTATATACAACGTATTCATTAAAAAAACCCAAAACTGATTATATGTGTCTTTATTTGATTAAAATAATGATTAAAAAAATGTAACCAGGCTGGGTGGCACAGGTGTCATTCATAACATTCACTGACATAATATGGTAAGGTTTTCCATGCATGCTATTTTCTGCTACCTCCTCACTGCCTTTAGGAGTTGAAATACAATATTAAATTGCTTACTGCAGATACCACAACACCTCATAATTATGGCTCTATGGAAATAATTTTCTCTAAATAAACCTGGAAACATATTTTTAGGGTTGCATTTTCTTTTTAGACTGGCAAATGCTCCAGCTTATCTCATTGCTCTATTTTACCCAGTGGAATTTTGCCAGCGGTGGATCTGATTGCACTCACTGCCTGAATCAGGTTCTTATGAAGCATTTCGTCTTCGCTGAAAATGCAAAATTCATAAATTAAGTTGAAAGTTACTGATGGACAGCCTTAGTGAATTACGTTTCCCATCAGCTAGCTGTCTTGAATCCGATTCCAGCATAGGAAGAATCACATCTACCGATTCTACACCTGGAATCTGAAAGAGCGGATTCCTCAGCTTTTCCCAAAGAAAGAAATACAACACCACACTTGAAAAGAAAGATGGCATTTCCTTAGGAAATTATATTTGTAGTACTCTATATCTGATCATCTTAAAATCAGATGGAAAACATTTTACTTTCTGTTTTTTTCCCTAGGCAGGTAAAATCTCTAGGTCATTTTTTTGAGTCATCAATGTCTCTCATACAGAAAACTCAATTGTTGATTTGCTTGCCAAACAAACAAAGTATAAAATAATTAACAGTGGTCTTGCAATTAAATAGTAATTTAGCCTCAGCTTTAATGTTTCAATTAAAACTTAATAAGCATGCACGAGATGTATTTGCAGTGTATGCTGAGTAGTGATAAAAAACACTTGTTTTGCCCACTTTTGCAAACTGGTAGATAGAACATATTTGTTTACTTGTAACATGATAATTCCTCGAGGTGTGAACACTGGGGTATGGAAGAGGTGAAGAGACAAACATTATAACAGGTATTCTGCAGAAGTGTCAAGAGATGCAGAATGTTGCAACACAAACAAAAGATGGTGAATTGAAAATGATCTGTCCAGGGGTTGAACTAAAATTCTAAGAATGGCAAATAATAACATTATGTTGCTTGATGCATGCATCTTTAGAAAAATTCAAGATGGCTTCAAGATGGTATGTTAAATTGTAATTTTTAAACAGATATTAATTCATTATTAATGACTAGTATATATTAGGAAAAAACAGGAAACAATGTATTTGTCCTATTATATAAAGTAAAAATAATAATTATATTCCATTTCCTTAATTTAAAACATCATTTTTTTTTAACACAATAGGTTTTTTTGTTTGTTTGTTTGTTTTTTGAGGTGGACTCTTGCTCTGTTGCCCAGGCTGGAGTGCAATGGCATGATCTCAGCACACTGCAAACTCTGCCTCCTGGGTTCAAACTATCCTCCTGCCTCAGCCTCCCGAGTGGCTGGAACTACAGGTGTCTGTCATTACACCCGACTAATTTTTGTTTTTTTAGTAGACACAGAGCTTCACCATGTTGGCCAGGCTGGTCTCCAACTCCTGACTGCAAGTGATCTGCCTGATATTACTCAAACCCTCCACTCCTTTGGTTCTGTCAGGATCCTTGTCAATTTTATTTTTTTAAAGCCTACTAATTTTTGAAAAGTGATTATTTTCCTCAATAATTGCTCAAATTTTATTTAATTTTCCTCTCATCTTTTGATGTACATAAAACACTTAATTTTGAAAAGAACATAAGCTTAAGAAAAAGGACACAATCTTACTATGAAATAAGTATATGTCAAAGAGAAAAATGATGGCTCAGTATGTCAGTGAAGTATCTGATTTAGAAAGAAAATGCCACTATTTTCTTCTATGAATTCAGTCTTTAGCCAACATTTTTGAAAAAAATCTAAGTCTTCAAATTAAAAAAAATCCATACAATTGAGTTGAGCAAAGTCTTTTTTTTTAATGTGCCACATTTTTTTATTTTATTTTGTTTTATTTATTTATTATTATTATACTTTAAGTTTTAGGGTACATGTGCACAATGTGCAGGTTAGTTACATATGTATACATGTGCCATGCTGGTGTGCTGCACCCACTAACTCGTCATCTAGCATTAGGTATATCTCCCAGTGCTATCCCTCCCCCCTCCCCACACCCCACAACAGTCCCCGGTGTGTGATGTTCCCCTTCCTGTGTCCATGTGTTCTCATTGTTCAATTCCCACCTATGAGTGAGAATATGTGGTGTTTGGTTTTTTGTTCTTGTGATAGTTTACTGAGAATAATGATTTCCAACTTCATCCATGTCCCTACAAAGGACATGAACTCATCATTTTTTATGGCTGCATAGTATTCCATGGTGTATATGTGCCACATTTTCTTAATCCAGTCTATCATTGTTGGACATTTGTGTTGGTTCCAAGTCTTTGCTATTGTGAATAATGCCACAATAAACATACGCATGCATGTGTCTTTATAGCAGCATGATTTATAGTCCTTTGGGTATATACCCAGTAATGAGATGGCTGGGTCAAATGGTATTTCTAGTTCTAGATCTCTGAGGAATCGCCACACTGACTTCCACAATGGTTGAACTAGTTTACAGTCCCACCAACAGTGTAAAAGTGTTCCTATTTCTCCACATCCTCTCCAGCACCTGTTGTTTCCTGACTTTTTAATGATTGCCATTCTAACTGGTGTGAGATGGTATCTCACTGCGGTTTTGATTTGCATTTCTCTGATGGTCAGTGATGGTGAGCATTTTTTCAAACTATACTACAAGGCTACAGTAACCAAAACAGCATGGTACTGGTACCAAAACAGAGATATAGACCAATGGAACAGAACAGAGACCTCAGAAATAACGCCGCATATCTACAACTATCTGATCTTTGACAAACCTGAGAAAAACAAGCAATGGGGAAAGGAGTCCCTATTTAATAAATAGTGCTGGGAAAACTGGCTAGCCATATGTAGAAAGCTGAAACTGGATCGCTTCCTTACACCTTATACAAAAATCAATTCAAGATGGATTAAAGACTTAAACGTTAGACCTAAAACCATAAAAACCCTAGAAGAAAACCTAGGCATTACCATTCAGGACATAGGCATGGGCAAGGACATCATGTCTAAAACACCAAAAGCAATGGCAACAGAAGCCAAAATTGACAAATGGGATCTAATTAAACTAAAGAGCTTCTGCACAGCAAAAGAAACTACCATCAGAGTGAACAGGCAACCTACAAAATGGGAGAAAATTTTTGCAACCTACTCATCTGACAAAGGGCTAATATCCAGAATCTACAATGAACTCAAACAAATTTACAAGAAAAAAACAAACAACCCCATCAAAAAGTGGGCAAAGGACATGAACAGACACTTCTCAAAAGAAGACATTTATGCAGCCAAAAAACACATGAAAAAATGAGCAAAGTATTAATCTCTTCAATCTACAATGTATATATTTTTCTTCCTAATGCCAAAACATTTCCGTGAAAAAGTGAAACTAGCAACATGTAGCCAAAGCAACCAGGCAAGTTAATGATTTTTTTTTTCTCTCTACCAGGTTGATTTGGCACTTTGTAGACACTGCTAAGCCAGCTCATGTTAGTGCTTGAAGTAAAGTGTTTCAGAGTTTTGCTTAGTTGTTTTTCTCATTTTGATATAACTTTTGTTTTCTGGAAATCTTCAAGAAATTTGTTATCCAACACTAGTAAAACAACCTGTTGCATTTTAAAAGAAATCAAATATCATAACAAAAAAGAATAAATCAAATGTGAGAACAGCTATAAATTTTTAGAACATTTCAATCTTTCACTGCAACATAACATTCATTGTGATGATGACCATGAAAACAGAAAAAAGATTTTTAGATTCTGACATAAGAAAGAATTGGCTGTACAGATTACCTTTAAGACATAACTTTATGTGAAATCAAATTGCTGTGGTAATAAAGCTATAAAATGTTACTATTAAAATCCTTAATTTACGATCAATTTTAAACCAAAAAAGTACCTTAAACTATTTTTAAATAAGTTGCAAACATATATGAAACTTAAGGATACATCCACCATGCTTAAAATGGTGACAAATGTTCATTGACCTGGATATGCCATTGATTTTGACAATGAAGTTGGGGCACCTTGACAATAACCTGCAATTGAATTTATTTTCTGATCAGTGCCACAGTCAAATTGATCTGGCTCTGTAATGATTACTAACATTTTCAGCATATTCTTCCAGATTTCCATGTATTCTATGGCAGAAAAAGAGACAGTTTGAAGAGTTTCCCTTTAAACCATTGAAATTTTGGAATTCCTATTAAACATCTTGTCAGTGCACGTGCATCTCTGACACCACCAATCTCTTTCCAGCTCAGGATATTTCTCTGAAGATCTAGCTCTTACTTCTGAGTCAGAATTACATCAGAAATCCTCATGTTTCCTTAAGCCAGCAATAATGAATATGGATTATTAGGTATTAATTAATTTCATTATAATGGTAAATATGTTTCAAGTTTTGAACTAATCTTTTAATAATAATGTGAGTTTATTTAAGTCCTAAAAATTAATCTCCTTGCATTGTATTATCTCTGTGATAGTTAAGAGTCAGAGTGACTTTGGGACATTTTTTTTTTTTTTTGATATCCTTATCATCATGTTCCCTTTTAAACCAGTTCCAGATTTCCACTTTACTTACCTCTCCTCCTGAAAGTGCTGTCCACAGTAACCTAGACACACAATCCAAGATAAAGTGATATGATCTTCTTGCCTTGGTGTTTGAAATCTTTCGGAACATGAGAGTGAATGCTGGGGGATTTTTTTCCCCCAGTTTCAATTTCCTACATAATAATATATTCATCAAGGAAAAAGTTTTAAAATATTGTAAATGTACTCTGAGTGAGATATTGATCTAGACACAAGACAAGTAATTTCTACCATCTAATGGAGGTAGAGTGGGGAGGTGGTGTATTTCTTTATTATGGTGGTGTTACAGAATTATCCAAGGTGCCAATTTAAACTGACCCATGGAAGAGTACTCTCTGGGTTGGAGTCAGAAAATCTGCATTTGTAATATCCTGCACTGGTGTTTATATACACAATGACATTTAAGAACAACTGCATGTTTACCTGATGTGTAAGGGCATGAGTTCTGAGTTCATTTCAGCGTGAGTGGTTCCTACTTGGTGGGTAGTTTTCCTTTCTTCAGGGATATATGGATTCAGGTTCCTCCCTGAATCCATATATCCATTTGTGATCTCTGTATCCTTGGGGGCCCTAGACTCCTCTGCTGTCAGATGGAGGATAGGGAGAAAGATAATGATTAATGCAGACTCACTTGTTAAAAACCTGGGTCTGGAAGTAACACTCTTCATTTCTGCTCATAGTCTATTGGCAAGATATAGTCTCATGGCCATATCTGAAGGCATAAGAGCCTGGGAGATGCAGTCTTTGTCTAGACAGTTAATTTTTTTTTGTAGCAACAACTATATTCTCTGGAAAGTGGAACACAACTATCTTGTGTATTGTTTATCTCCAACACAGCAGTCACTTTAGTGGCCTTGAACTTGGCAATGGTTTCTTAGATATGACATGTACAAGCAGCAACAGAAAAATATAGATTCATGAGATAGATAATAAATATCCTTGTGATGGTTAATTTTAGGGATCATCTTGACTGGGTTAAGGGATATGCAGATAGCTAGTACAGAATGTTTTCTGGGTATGTCTGTGAGCATGTTTACAGAAGAGATTGATATTTGAACCAGTGGACTAAGTAAGGAAGATCGGCCCTCACCCAATGTGAGGGGCCCCATCCAATTGGTTGAGGTACCAGATAGACCAAAAAGGCAAAGGAAAACAAATTCATTCTCTCTTCTGGAGCTGGGAAACCCATTTTTTTCCTGCCCTTGGACATCAGAGCTCCAGATTCTTGGGCCTTTAGACTTCAGCACATAGACCAGCATGCCCCCACCCACCTGTTCTCAGGCTTTCAGCCTCAGACTGAGCTATACCACTGGCTTCCTGGTGCTCCAGCTTGAGTATGGCACATCGGGGGACTTACAAGGGTGTGAGAAAGCTTCCATAATTAATCACTCTTAGATACCTATATTTATATCTCTATCTATATACTCTGGCTGCTAGTTCTATTCCTCTGGAGAGCCCTGTTTTTCTGGTTCTATTTCTCTGGAGAACCTTAACTAATATTGCTCTGAATGACTGCTGTATGATCAAATGATACAGCACAGGAAACTATAATATTCATGTCACTAGACAACTGCACAATATTATTTCTGATGTTAAAATAGATCCTATTTATATCTTTATTAAACAGTTCTTTATGTATTAATATAACTAACTAGTGATTAGTGATACATTTCTAATTCCAAAGGTAGTACAAATACCTTTCCAGGAATAATTTTCCATGGCATAGTATGACAGCAAATAGATTGTTTTTCCACAGTACTTATTTTCAAAAAGAAGATGAACAGAAAGTCTCAAAGGCTTGATTCTTGTCACAGTGAAAGCAAAACAATCTATCATAGAATTTATGAAAGGAATTTTGCACAAGGAAATAGACTCATTTTTGGCCTTGAGAAACCCATAGGCTGCTCATGACACGCAAATAATTTTTGTGTTTTCCTAAAGATAATTAATAGGATTAAACCTTTTTCATTACCTTGTTGGAAACAAAAGAGCCAAATATATTCCACTTAATGAGAATTTTTCTTCCAGGCACAGAACACCTGGTCTGAACTGTGGGAAGATACTGCTATTCAAAGATGTTAAAAAGCATCCTTCTCTGAGATACATTGAAAAAATTATATCAGGGAAAAATAAGACACATATAAACTGACTAACATCAGGGTGTACCTATTTATTTAGTGGGCGATCAGTACCATTAAGTTAAACTAAGTTTACCTTAGAATGTTACGTATATGGCGGCAGAATGAACCTGCAACTTCAAAGTCTTCACAAAAGACCTGTTAAAACAGGAAAAAATACATTAAAGCAAAAATAAAGTTTTAAAAATTGAATACAAAAACACTAATTGGTCTGTCATGTGCCTACAGTCAACCCTAGGAATTTTGGTTGGTAGGTAGCCATGAAAACAACAACAATGACAATCACAAGACAAATGGCATTGATTGAATGCTTCTTATTTTTTAGATATTATTCTAGGTTAAATTCTCATGTTTTCTTCTAAGAGCTTTACAGTTCTAGTTCTAACATTAGGTCTTTGATCCATCTTGTGTTAGTTTTCATATATGGTGTAAGGTAAGACTTCATTCTTTTGCATGTGGAATACAAAATCTCATTTATCCAAGCAGGAGTTGTACAAGGGAGTTATTTATCTTGGGTCAGTTTCTCTAGAGCAGATCCTGAGGTGAGGATTTGTGTTAAAGCATTTTATTAAGGTACCGCCCTGGGAGAAGCCAGAAGGGAATGGGGGATGTAGAACAGGGAAAGGAAAAAGGCAAGCAGGGTACAGTTTCTGGTGATGCTCTAGCCCTGGTCTCATTCTTTGGGAGAACTGTGGAGGGCAAATTACAGCTTGGATCTTGTCCTCATAAGGTAGAGGTTTCCATATCCCTAGGGGGTAATGTAATTCCCAGTCACTTCCAGCTTTCTGCCCAGGCAGGAAAAATGGTTCTAGTGACTCAAGGGAAGTCTTTCAAAGGGAGATTCAGATGCAGGCTGTTTGAAGCAAATGCCAAAGGAGCTGAGGAAAGGAGTGTCCATGAAAAAAGTCTGAGGGAATGTGGACCAGAGTCCCAGTGTGTTCACTTCTGTTTCGCTCACTTCACTTAACAGATTAAAAAAAAAATAGAAGCTAGAAGAGTGGAATAACTTTCGCTAGTTGACATGATTAATAAATAGGAAAGCTAAGAATAAGTCTAGATCTAGGACTCCAAATCTTTTGCTTTGGAGAGTTATTGGACCTGTGGGAAGAATATGGTAAGTGGACTGTGGCAGAGATGAGCAGTTCAAATGGGATAAGCACATACTTATCAATGGGACATCATTAAGAGTCCTTCCTTCCATACTCTCCAAAAGCCTGCTGTGGGGTGATAAAGACATGAATTGGAAGAGGCATGAGAATAAAGGGAGTGGTAATTTTTTAAATGTCTGTGTTCTCTCAAAATGGTGCTGGGACAATGGTTATCCACATGACAACAAAAAAAAAAAAAAAGAAGAAGAAGAAGAAGTTGGATCCACTACTATGTATAAAAATTAAAAATGGCCAAAGACGTAAATGTAAGCACTGAAACTATAAAACTCTTAGAAGAAAGCATAGGTGTAAACTATTTGTGGCCTTGAATTTGGCAATGGTTTCTTAGATATGACATGCACAAGCAGCAACAGAAAAAAATAGATTCATTGGATTTCATAAAAATAAACCTTTTATGCTTCAAAGGATACTATCAAGAAATTAAAAAGACAACCCAACAAATGAGAGAAAATAACTTACATCTAGAATATATATGTATACACCTATGTAATACATCATATATCTTATACATTCATATATGAATATAAATATAAAATAATTACAATTCAATAATTAAAAGACAACATATTACAAATAAAAACTACTATATAGAAAAAGGGTCTGTGATATGGTTTGGCTGTGTCCCCCACGTGTCAAGGGTGGGACGAGGTGGAGGTAACTGGATCATGGGGTCGGTTTCCTCCATGCTGTTCTCATGATAATGATTGAGTCTCATGAGATATTATTGTTTTATAAACGTCTGGCATTTCCCCTGCTTGCACTGACTCTGTCCTACCACCCTGTGAAGAAGGTGCCTTCATCTACTTTGCCTTCCACCGGATTATAAGTTTTTTGAGGCCTCCCCACCAATGAGGAACTGTGAGTCAATTAAATCTCTTTCCTTTATAAGTTACCCAGTCTCAGATATTTCTATATAGCAGTGTAAGAATGGACTAATACAGTCTGAATGGACATTTCTTCAAAGATGATACAAAAATGGCCCATGCACATATAAAAAGATGCTCAAGAATGTTGAATGTTGGCCCCCACTCTCTTCTGGCTTGTAGGGTTTCTGCCGAGAGATCCACTGTTAGTCTGATGGGCTTCCCTTTGAGGGTAACCCGACCTTTCTCTCTGGCTGCCCTTAACATTTTTTCCTTCATTTCAACTTTGGTGAATCTGACAATTATGTGTCTTGGAGTTGCTCTTCTCGAGGAGTATCTCTGTGGTGTTCTCTGTATTTCCTGAATCTGAACGTGAATTTCATATCCAGCCAAACTAAGCTTCATAAGTGAAGGAGAAATAAAATACTTTACAGACAAGCAAATGTTGAGAGATTTTGTCACCACCAGGCCTGCCCTAAAAGAGCCCCTGAAGGAAGCACTAAACATGGAAAGGAACAACCGGTACCAGCCGCTGCAAAATCATGCCAAAATATAAAGACCATCGAGACTAGGAA
Organism: Homo sapiens; assembly: GCF_000001405.40. Lineage (NCBI taxonomy): Eukaryota > Metazoa > Chordata > Mammalia > Primates > Hominidae > Homo > Homo sapiens. The sequence goes on from NC_000002.12 coordinate 198,582,178, forward strand.
GAAACTGCATCAACTAACAAGCAAAATCACCAGCTAACATCATAATGACAGGATCAAATTCACACATAACAATATTAACTTTAAATGTCAATGGACTAAATGCTCCAATTAAAAGACACAGACTGGCAAGTTGGATAAGGAGTCAAGACCCATCAGTGTGCTGTATTCAGGAAACCCATCTCAAGTGCAGAGACACACACAGGCTCAAAATAAAGGGATGGAGGAAGATCTACCAAGCAAATGGAAAACAAAAAAAGGCAGGGGTTGCAATCCTAGTCTCTGATAAAACAGACTTTAAACCAACAGAGATAAAAAGAGACAGAGAAGGCCATTACATAATGGTAAAGGGATCAATTCAACAAGAAGAGCTAACTATCCTAAATATATATGCACCCAATACAGGAGCACCCAGATTCATAAAGCAAGTCCTGAGTGACCTACAAAGAGACTTAGACTCCCACACATTAATAATGGGAGACTTTAACACCCCACTGTCAACATTAGACAGATCAACGTGACAGAAAGTCAACAAGGATACCCAGGAATTGAACTCAGCTCTGCACCAAGCAGACCTAATAGACATCTACAGAACTCTCCACCCCAAATCAACAAAATATACATTTTTTTCAGCACCACACCACACCTGTTCCAAAATTGACCACATACTTGGAAGTAAAGCTCTCCTCAGCAAATGTAAAAGAACAGAGATTATAACAAACTATCTCTCAGACCACAGTGCAATCAAACTAGAACTCAGGATTAAGAATCTCACTCAAAACCGCTCAACTACATGGAAACTGAACAACCTGCTCCTGAATGACTACTGGATACATAACGAAATGAAGGCAGAAATAAAGATGTTCTTTGAAACCAATGAGAACAAAGACACAACATACCAGAATCTCTGGGACGCATTCAAAGCAGTGTGTAGAGGGAAATTTATAGCACTAAATGCCCACAAGAGAAAGCAGGAAAGATACAAAATTGACACCCTAACATCACAATTAAAAGAACTAGAAAAGCAAGAGCAAACACATTCAAAAGCTAGCAGAAGGCAAGAAATAACTAAAATCAGAGCAGAACTGAAGGAAATAGAGACACAAAAAACCCTCCAAAAAATTAATGAATCCAGGAGCTGGTTTTTTGAAAGGATCAACAAAACTGATAGACCGCTAGCAAGACTAATAAAGAAAAAAAGAGAGAAGAATCAAATAGACACAATAAAAAATGATAAAGGGGATATCACCACCGATCCCACAGAAACACAAACTACCATCAGAGAATACTACAAACACCTCTACGCAAATAAACTAGAAAATCTAGAAGAAATGGATAAATTCCTCGACACATACACTCTCCCAAGACTAAACCAGGAAGAAGTTGAATCTCTGAATAGACCAATAACAGGACCTGAAATTGTGGCAATAATCAATAGTTTACCAACCAAAAAGAGTCCAGGACCAGATGGATTCACAGCCGAATTCTACCAGAGGTACAAGGAGGAACTGGTACCATTCCTTCTGAAATTATTCCAATCATTAGAAAAAGAGGGAATCCTCCCTAACTCATTTTATGAGGCCAGCATCATTCTGATACCAAAGCCGGGCAGAGACACAACCAAAAAAGAGAATTTTAGACCAATATCCTTGATGAACATTGATGCAAAAATCCTCAATAAAATTCTGGCAAAACGAATCCAGCAGCACATCAAAAAGCTTATCCACCATGATCAAGTGGGCTTCATCCCTGGGATGCAAGGCTGGTTCAATATACGCAAATCAATAAATGTAATCCAGCATATAAACAGAGCCAAAGACAAAAACCACATGATTATCTCAATAGATGCAGAAAAAGCCTTTGACAAAATTCAACAACCCTTCATGCTAAAAACTCTCAATAAATTAGGTATTGATGGGACGTATTTCAAAATAATAAGAGCTATCTATGACAAACCCACAGCCAATATCATACTGAATGGGCAAAAACTGGAAGCATTCCCTTTGAAAACTGGCACAAGACAGGGATGCCCTCTCTCACCACTCCTATTCAACATAGTGTTGGAAGTTCTGGCCAGGGCAATTAGGCAGGAGAAGGAAATAAAGGGTATTCAATTAGGAAAAGAGGAAGTCAAATTGTCCCTGTTTGCAGATGACATGATTGTATATCTGGAAAACCCCATTGTCTCAGCCCAAAATCTCCTTAAGCTGATAAGCAACTTCAGCAAAGTCTCAGGATACAAAATCAATGTGCAAAAATCACAAGCATTCCTATACACCAATAATAGACAGAGAGCCAAATCATGAGTGAACTCCCATTCACAATTGCTTCAAAGAGAATAAAATACCTAGGAATCCAACTCACAAGGGATGTGAAGGACCTCTTCAAGGAGAACTACAAACCACTGCTCAAGGAAATAAAAGAGGATACAAACAAATGGAAGAACATTCCATGCTCATGGGTAGGAAGAATCAATATCATGAAAATGGCCATACTGCCCAAGGTAATTTACAGATTCAATGCCATCCCCATAAAGCTACCAATGACTTTCTTCACAGAATTGGAAAAAACTACTTTAAAGTTCATATGGAACCAAAAAAGAGCCTGCATCGCCAAGGCAATCCTAAGCCAAAAGAACAAAGCTGGAGGCATCACACTACCTGACTTCAAACTATACTACAAGGCTACAGTAACCAAAACAGCATGGTCCTGGTACCAAAACAGAGATATAGATCAACGGAACAGAACAGAGCCCTCAGAAATAATGCCGCATATCTACAACTATCTGATCTTTGACAAACCTGAGAAAAACAAGCAATGGGGAAAGGATTCCCTATTTAATAAATGGTGCTGGGAAAACTGGCTAGCCATATGTAGAAAGCTGAAACTGGATCCCTTCCTTACACCTTATACAAAAATCAATTCAAGATAGATTAAAGACTTAAACGTTAGACCTAAAACCATAAAAACCCTAGAAGAAAACCTAGGCATTACCATTCAGGACATAGGCATGGGCAAGGACTTCATGTCCAAAACACCAAAAGCAATGGCAACAAAAGACAAAATTGACAAATGGGATCTAATTAAACTAAAGAGCTTCTGCACAGCAAAAGAAACTACCATCAGAGTGAACAGGCAACCTACAGAATGGGAGAAAATTTTTGCAACCTACTCATCTGACAAAGGGCTAATATCCAGAATCTACAATGAACTCAAACAAATTTACAAGAAAAAAACAAACAACCCCATCAAAAAGTGGGCGAAGGACATGAACAGACACTTCTCAAAAGAAGACATTTATGCAGCCAAAAGACACATGAAAAAATGCTCATCATCACTGGCCATCAGAGAAATGCAAATCAAAACCACAATGAGATACCATCTCACACCAGTTAGAATGGCAATCATTAAAAAGTCAGGAAACAACAGGTGCTGGAGAGGATGTGGAGAAATAGGAACACTTTTACACTGTTGGTGGGACTATAAACTAGTTCAACCATTGTGGAAGTCAGTGTGGCGATTCCTCAGGGATCTAGAACTAGAAATACCATTTGACCCAGCCATCCCATTACTGGGTATATACCCAAAGGACTATAAATCATGCTGCTATAAAGACACATGCACACGTATGTTTATTGCAGCATTATTCACAATAGCAAAGACTTGGAACCAACACAAATGTCCAACAATGATAGACTGGATTAAGAAAATGTGGCACATATACACCATGGAATACTATGCAGCCATAAAAAATGATGAGTTCATGTCCTTTGTAGGGACATGGATGAAATTGGAAATCATCATTCTCAGTAAACTATCACAAGAACAAAAAACCAAACACCACATATTCTCACTCATAGGTGGGAATTGAACAATGAGATCACATGGACACAGGAAGGGGAATATCACACTCTGGGGACTGTGGTGGTGTGGGGGGAGGGGGGAGGGATAGCATTGGGAGATATACCTACTGCTAGATGACGAGTTAGTGGGTGCAGCGCACCAGCATGGCACATGTATACATATGTAACTAACCTGCACAATGTGCACATGTACCCTAAAACTTAAAGTATAATAAATAAATAAATAAATAAAATAAAATAAAAATAAAAAGATGCTCAAGATCATTAGGTATCAGAGAAATGCAAGTCAAAGCCACACTCTCTAGAATGGCTTTAATAAAATATACATATAGATAATAACCAGAGTTCGAAAGGATGTGGAAAAATCAGAACCCTCATCCACTGCTGGTAGCAATGTAAAATGGTGCAGCTACTGTCTGGCAGTTCCTCATAAAACTAAACACAGTTTTTTTGGTTTCGACCCAGCCATTCTACTCCCAGGTATATATTCAAGAGAAGTGAAAACAAGTGACCAAACAACAACCTGTACACAAATGTTCACAGAAGCAGTATTAATAACCAAGTGTCCATTGGTGGATAAAATTGAGTATGTCCATAAATTGAATATTATTAAGCCACAAAAATGAAGTCCTGAAACATGCTACAAAATGGATGAACCTTGAAAACATTATGCTCAGTGAAAGAAGACCACATATAATATGATTCCATTTATATGAAATATACGGAGTAGGTGAATCTACAGAGAAAGTAAATTGGTGTTTGCCTTGGGCTAGGGGAAGGGGAGGATTGGCTAATGGCAACCAAAGAGCAATGTATTTCTTTTTGGGGTGACAAAAGATGTTCTAAAACTGATTGTGGTGATTGTTGTACAATGCTGTGAATATGCCATAAGTCTTTGAATTATATACTCTAAATGAATGAATTGTATGTTATATGAATTATATCTCAATAAAATTGCAATATAAAAAAACTTCTATGCCCTAATATTAATTGAAATAATTCTGTGGGTAAACATTCAGCCTAAAATTTGCAAAGCAAAGCATTTATACAGGGCCATGCTGGCAGGGGTTTTTATGGTCATCTTGGCTACTTCACAGCTTCAAGTGTGAACTTTCTAAACAGAGCTGGTATCGGGTTGTGGAAATGCTCATTGAGAACAGTCACCAAACAACAGCTGTTCCAGAGCAGACCCTGCCTCATCCATGATAACTGCATGTGCTGCCCACTTTGTGGGACAAAGTGAATCCTGGAAGCTGAGTATTTGAAAGAGCTTGTTGGCCCTCTCTGTTCCTACAACCAATGCATGGACTGGAGGCAGTCAGTGGGGGCCTTGTCTGAGCTGCTCTTGGAGTTGTGTGAGACGCAGTGCACGTCGCTCCCTCAGTGGCCTCCAGATTGAAGACGGTTTCTTGCGAAATCAGCAGGGTGGGCAGCTGAAGAGTGTGTGAATATTGTGCATTTGTAAATATTTGAGCACATCTGCTTAGCTCCCTCCCAAAAAACCACTGGGAAAACCCGCTTTGCATTGTGCCATGCAATGCTGTTACCCTGTTCTAATTGTCAAATCTGTTGAGTGTTTTTCTCCCGCACACAAAAATTAAACATTGCTCTCCTCATTCATGATTAATTCAGCTGCAGTGCTGCACTGTGTCACACTGCATTTTTTAAAGTAATTGTTAAATTCTACCTCATAATCAGAGCAGTTTTAATTAACTTTTTGTCAGTTAATCTTTTTTCCTCATACATTTTCCATGTCTAGTGTGTATACAGTGTGTCTCTGCCCAGGGGTTTGCAGCCCCTCGATATGAATGCTTAAGCTCTGTCGGTGCTGATGGGTGTGCCATGTGCCCATGCAGAGAGGAGGCCTCCTAGGCTCATTCTGCTCAGCTTTCTTAGGGCTAGCTGGTCATAACATTTGCATTAACGAGATCCGCCACAGTGAACTTATTTACAGGCTTCAAAGTTCAGGCTTTCTTTTCTCTTCCTCCTAGAACGTGTTTCCTGTGTCTAGGAGCGATATGGCACATAATAGAAGTAAGAAAGGTGGACATATAGGGCACGGGGAATGATATCCAAATGGAATGTAGAACAAACCTTGACTCTTGCTTGCAGAGCTAGCCTGTACTCAGCATACTTCCTTCAGCATCTCTGACCTTGGCAAGATTACCAAAGTCACATTTTCACATGTTTGAACTTGTTTTTGCATAGTTCGTCCACCAACTCAATGCACTCTTTCAACTTACATCTTTACTCATTCACATTTTTTACTTCTCAGATAGATAGATAGTATTTCTCATGTGTACGTAACAAAGAAAATCCAATTCCATATTAAACTGTGCACGTCCGTGTTCTTTTCTTTCTCACAAGTTGTCTGTGTTTAAAAGCAATAATGTGTAGCTTTTCTAAAAGTTTTAAAATGGTCACATCTGTCTGATAGTGCCACTACTGCTACTTCTAGCAAAAGCAGCCACTTTTGGGTATTTATAGGACATATTTTTCAGGATATCACATCAGTTTTCCAGTGTTAAAAAGCATAAGATTGAGGAAGTAGGAGCTGATAATTCCCTATTTTAGAATCTGATGCTAAAATGCTGAGAGATTAAATAAACACACCAGATGCTCAAATTGCCAGTTAAGTTATTTAAACACAGTGTGGCCCAAACCCTAGAAAAGGGAATACATTCACTCCACGAACACTTGTGCGGAGGTGTCGCCATATTGAATTTGTTAATTAACCTGTTCTATCCAGAATTTATCTTAAGGATTAAATGCTATTCAAATACAAATTGTGCTAGAGGTTCCTACTAAAGAATTACATTTAAAAGTACCTCTAAAACAAACTGCTTTCTAAATAAAATGTTTTGACTTCCAAAAGATTAACAGTGTGTGGGCTCCAGAGTCTGTATTCAAATCTTAAATATGTCATTTACAAAGTAAGTGGGCAGGCAAGTATCTTTACCTCAGTCCTGTTTTCCTCATCTGTAAAATGGGGATAATACTATTTCCTATCATCATACAGCTTTTATAATGATGAAAAGACATGATTCTAATATACTTAGCACAGTGTATGTTCTCAATAAAATGGTGAAATGATGGCTTGCCTTTTTCTCTGTGCCTGATATCAGAGTATCTATATCACTCTGTATACAGAGCACAGTGGGCCCAAGTACTTGTCACAGCATTCATCATGGTCAGTCCTGTCTCTGTCTCACAGGAGCAAGCTCCACCCTGTGAGCTCAAGCTCCTGGAGAGTTTCGCATCTTGTTTAATTTGTGTCTCCTATAGTCCTAACACAACATCTGTGTTATGTGAACGTTCAAAAGGTTATTGCTGAATCATAATTGAATCCTCCTTTTTGTTCTTTTACTCAGTCAACAATATTTAGAACACTCTATAGCTGAAAGATTAATAAGGCTTAATTCCTGTCCTCAAATCATTCGGAATTGAGTGAGGAGTGATCTGTATATAGACCGGTAATTACAGAACTTCATGGAATATGATTGGCTTCCTGCAGCTGCAAAAGGCTTTACTGAAAAAAACAACATGTATCTGGGCCTTGAAAGAGCAAAGGTTTTACCCAGATTGAGTCTGAGGGTAGGTCACTTAAGACAACCTGAGTAGAGTGTATATGAAAAGGGGCAGAATCATGAAACAGAGCATGTTCAGGAAATTGTGGGAGTGGTGTGTGAGCAGATTCTAGTACATAGGAAGATCAATACCAAAAGTTTGTAGCAAATATCACACTCTCATCCTATGAGCCCATTCCTATCATCTATACATGCTAAAAATCTACAGAATCCTTGGACTTGGGTGGACAGGCAGCTGTGGTGACTGCAGAAGACAGGGAGGTGGGAAAAACACAAAATAGGTGCAAAAGTTCCTGGCGAATGCCTCAGGGGTGATTAGAGTAGGAAGTAGTACGAATAGAAAAGGAGTGAATTTAAAGAGTTAGAGGAAACCGAGCGAGGCTGGCTATGGAACAGTCCAGAGATAACTTTGTCATTTGTTATCCATTAAAAAAACCATTTATATTTCCCTTATTTAATCTTTTTGTTGTGTATATGTGGGTGGAAATGAACTTTAATTCTGTTCTGTATTTTGTGCTTTTTAAGAATTCTTATTTCCTCTTTGTTTTCAAGTACAAAGTGGAATGGTTCTAATCCAGTTTTGATTTGTCAAGTATGATGGGAGAATAGATGTCACAGGAATGTGTCCAAATTTACTTTATTTTTGAAATCCCATAAATATGTTGTTTAGAATTATTACCCAAGGGTATTAATTTTTACCTAGGAGTGTTTTATAATTCCACTCACAATTTGTGAGTCCTCATGGAAATTGTGCTGAGGTAGCAACCTTATTAATACAAAATTCTTGCATTTATATACTTTAATTTATAATAATTTCTAAATTTCTAATTTAAAATATATATTAAAAGAGGCTACAATAAAACTATCATAGCCATTAAATCAATACTCAAGAATATATGAATTTCTGGAAATTCCTCATGGTGATAAGAGCATTTATTTCCTGTTGATAGAGATAGGAAAATACATTAAAGGCTTACTTTTCATATTTAATTTCAAATAAATATAACTGTGCCATGAAATATCAAATAATTTTGGAATTGTATTTTTAACCAAAAATAAAAGACCAGTAAATTTTAGACTGTTAAATTTGGACAGTATTTTGGCATGAACATTCTTCAGATTTCAGGTAATATAAAGACAAACACAGATAAAGTAGAGTTCACTGGTATTTATTGTTTATTGTATGTAAGCATTCATACTGTGCCCCTTTAAAATCTACTTTTCAATGTTAGAACTCTATAATCTAACTTTATTTAAATTTTCTAAGCTTATCATACGAATCATTTCATTATAATTACAAAATGAATAAAATTTTGCTAGGTTTGTGGAAGACTTCGGATCATGGACATATGTGATTTGACTACAAACTCAATAAAATTACTGACTACTAAGAAGGGATCCCTTAGGACATCTTTTTAGAATTGAAAGCCCATAATGTTAAAATGTATTTTGTAATTGGGTATTTCCAAACTAATATCAAATAGCAAGTCTTTAATTAGTGTGGATAAAATTAAAATTTACTTACAGAGAATTAAACTGGAATTTGAAGTTCTCATCATAAACCAGTATGAAGTGGAGAAATTCAATTTCACAGCCTCTTTTCTTTCATAACATATAATAACTTTTATTTTTCATTGTTATTTCACATAACAGATCGTTTTAGAGCAAACTTTGTGAAGAATCCTAAAAGCGCGTAACTATCTTTTACATAAAAATGCTTTAGAGTAAAGAGATCTCAGTTTGGAATCCGGGTCTTATACATTCAAAATGGCTGAGTTTTTGGGCAGTAAATGGCACTTTTAATATGTCCTAAACTTCAGAATGTAACCTCCATTTACCCTGTAGACAAGTAAAGCAATGACAAAATGCCAGATTTCTAAAGCAAAAAACAAAAAATCCACTTCTTTTAGTATTAATTAAAAGTGTGTGAGCCATTACTATCTAAAAGTGTCAGCTGGGATTAGAACAAAGAATCAACAAAAATAACGCAGCTATGGTAAGGAGAGAAATGAATTCTGGAATCAACAGTAAATAAATAAATACATAAAACCTTGTGCTGCCTTAGCCTTTACTGCACTGAAGATACAGTCTGCAGAATTTTTATTGGCACTCTGCCATCCTTATTTTCATTTATCTGCCTCAAAGCACCATTTCAAAAAGTGCTAAAGCATGTTGTTGATAAAGTAGATTGTTTATAGCTGAATTGAAAATTTCAGAACAACACGTATTGTAATAACGTCAGGGAGGAAGGTCTGGGAAGACTGCAGCTGCAGCTTTTTTAAACCTATGTCAACATCACTGTTAGAAATTGGAAGATGTGCTATTCTGCCCTACAAAATTTAATAAGGAAATTTTTATAAACTATATTAAGTGACAAGTATTACCAACAGCCATAAAGTCTGCTGAGTTTTTATTTACTGAAATGCTTTCCTAGCACATTGTTCCCATATTGCAGTCTCCTTTATAGTGTTGTGTTTTGTAATGTACTCAGCTACTCAGGGGTGATTTCAGTGATAGTAAATCCTGGGCCTATGAGTCCCCATGTGTACCATAGTAATTTTAATACTTCTGTAGTTAAGTACTGTCAGGTATAAATTTCAGCACCAACTTTAGTTGCTTCAGTGTGTTTTTTTCTTGTGACTGTTTTTGCAAAAGCACATTCAATAAATATGAAATAAGAAAAATGCTTAAACAAATGACATAAAGAAGTGAGATGGTACTTTTTTTATTTATATGGCTAAAGATCATAGCTGATATAGTTTATGTATTCCATTCAATGTGTAACTGTTTTTACTATTGAATTTTATTATGTTATGTTAATTATTTTTTAAATGAAAACACTAATTTTCCTAAACTGAGTTCCCCAGGCCACTGGGGTTTCTAGAAATGCTTACTTGGTATTCCTGAAAAAAAAAAAAAAAAAAAGTTTTCTGTGGTCAATTGTGTTTAATAAGAAGTGCTGAGTTAAACAAAGTTGGATTTCTTTTTTGATTTTTTAGTATTTTATATGCAACATGCAATGTTAATCTCTAAGATATGTCATTTCCTAACATAAGTGTCCTTTTGTCCTTTTTTTTTCTTTTAACAAACTTATTTAGCAGTTGTTGAACACCAGTGTTCTACATCACATTGCAGGACATGCTGGTTTAGAAGGATGTAATACATTTAATACATTGAGATTTAAGCAAAGCTCTTGCATCTAAACTTTCAGTGTTTAGAGAGATCAATGCTGCGCATAGAGAACACTTTGTAAAATCTTACTATTTGTGGAATAAATTAATGAATTCTAGAATGAAGGCTATCTTGCTAATAAATGAATGCCTGACAAGCCAGCTGGTACACTACTCTACTGCTGAAGCCAGTGGCTTTGTATTAATCTTGAGGATTGTGTTGAATTATCCTCTCATCCAAATTGTCTGCTGGAAAACTGATTCTTTTGCATTTGTGTATGATCTACCCTTTTCTCCTTCCATTCTAGGATCTCTTAGAATTGCTTTTAAAATTTTTCCTAGAATTTATTCTTAGAATTAGATCTTAGCTTAGAAGCTCTTTGTCTTTTGTGTTCTTCAATTTTACTATCATATGACTAATCTGTCATCCCTTGTCTTCTAAAGTCCTTCTTTTCTGTTTTATTATGTGATTTTTTCATCATAATTTATTCAATTGTTTTAATCTTTTTTCTACTATTATTTTCTTCTGAGTGCTTTATTATTTGTTAGTAATATTGCTTCTATCCTCATCCTTTAAGTTCATTTTTAAATTGCTCTTCTTTTTAATTTTTATCCAGTGTTTTCCAATTCAACCTGACTTTTTCAGTAAATTAATTTGTGTTTTGACTGTGTCCATTCTGATTAGAGATTCCAGATAAAATACTGAACATCTATTTAAATTTGAATTTCAGATATTACGAAAAAAGTTTAGTACAAGCAAGTCCTGCTTTGCCTGTTATATCATGTTAGACATATTTATACCTAAAAGAATGTAGTTATTCATCTAAAATTCAAATTTTACTGGGAATCCTCTATTTTTATTTGTTAATTCTGTTTCTTCTGTTTCCTCTCTACATACTAAACTTTAGGGTATTTTTTGTTTTTTATTTTATTTTATTTTTATTTTTTGCTTTCACAATCAGCAAACTTATCTCTAAAAATCCCCCCTTTTTTGGCAATAGTATTCTCCTGTCCTAGGAATGAACAAATATAAATAATTAATATGAACTTTTAAGGAAAACTTTAATAGATATCCCCAATGTGTTGAAAATAGAATGAAGAGTACCTTGGATTGATTAAGCATTAGGCTACTCAAAAATACAGCAAATTGATTTTCAAACTTTTCGGGACTGCTGTCTAACGATATAGGATATTGTCAACTGCTATAACAATGGATTCCCAAATGCATAATGTCTCAAAAACAGTAGATTTTTTTTCCTTGTTAACATGAAAACTCTGAGTGGGTAAAAAGTCTAGGATTTTCAGTAGCCATGGTGTTGGTTCCTTCCACACCTATATTTTATGTTCACCCTGGTTACCCCCATCCTGGTCAAGGAGCCAAGCATGGAAGAACATGCACAGAAGTGTCTAGTGGATGAAACCTGAAAGTGATACCCTTCAAGTTTGCTCACATCCTGTTTGTTGGAATTCAGTCACACAGCCATGCCTCACTGCAAGGGAGTCTGCAAAATGTAACCCAGCTCTTTCCAGGAAGAAGAAGAAGAGAAGATAGACTTTAGTGTGTAGTTAAAATTTGCTGTCACACAAACATGCTCACATGCCCAAATGGTTATGCTAAAGAAGTATGAAAGCAACTTCATGGATAATGGTTACAGCATATTTTACTTCCCTGGAATTCATAATTGGATTTTTTGCTTCATTTATAATTATTTGTTGTTGATGTGATTAAATAGCACAGGTGCCTCTATGAGAAAATAAAATAAAATAAAATATTTTGACATTAAATTGACATTTCTCGATTCAAGGAATGAACAGACTACGCTACTCTACTCTAATATTTAACAGATTAATTGTTGAGCTAGATATCCAAGGTGGTTTGGGAAAGACAAGGTGGTTATATGTAGAATATGGGTAAACCATTCAACAAAGCAGAGTGAGGAAGCCTGCCAAGGTATGCGAGTACCTCTTTAGCAGATGAATCAGAAACTTCTGTTTGCAGAGCTGTCAACATAGCCCCTCTCCTAAATACTAATTGCTTAACAGACAAGATATTAAGATCTTTAAAATAAGTGTTTCTTTGTCCTATATGTGTATTTATAAACATAGAACGGAAATCTCTACATGCAAAATATTTAGAGTTAGATGGTGTTGTAGGTAATTAGTGAGAAAGGCTGTATGTTTTCTCATCCACCTGCTGGTAGAAGCAGATGGTAGTTTATTTCTGCCCATGTGACCTACAGTTTCTTCAGGTTTACCACAATACTATGACTATGGTAATATCATTGTTTCCTTCCCAAGTATGGTTAAATATCTGGTGTCTATAAATAGTTTGTTTTCCTTCTTTGCTTCACCAACCTTTTGAGAAGAAATGCAATGATATGGGTCTTGCCATGTGAAAAAAATTTAAATAATGCTTTTAGAAGCATATTTTCCCCTATAAGAACAGTTATATTTTTTGATAGAAAAAAATGCTATGATTTTCAATCTTACAATGAGAAGGAACCCTTTGGGGTATACATCCTGTTTGGTTTTAGCAAAGCACAAAACAAAACAAGCACAATAAAATGCAGTGCTGTGCAGAGTCAACCCACAGCCATTAACACCCATCTCTAAGCTTTGTCTCATGCCTAGATATTTAGCTCTTCATTCTTTTATAACAAAGAATGTGTACTTTATAATTTTATTAGCTTCTTAAAGAAAACTGGATACATTGTGTTCATTCAGCACATTTCATTCGAGTATAGTATGTCCAAATAGAGTTAATTTTTACTTCTTTCCTTTAATTACCCTTACCTAGTTCTAAAAATTACATTAAAAGATAAAATGAAAAAGTACAAAGGACATTTTATGCAACATCTACTTAATCTTAGTACTCAAATGTGTTAATGAAACTAATAAGATGAAAATAATTCATGAAAAGATGCTAGATTATTGTTATAAAATCAGTACCTGATAGTCTTTTCTCTTTGGAAAACCCATTACAGTAGGAGATACAAACATTTGAAGCCTGCTACAGCTCAGATAATTGTCTAGTTGTTATTAGAGCAGCTTGTCTTTTCTTAAAAGCCTATTCTAGGTGATTTTTCTTGTTAACCCCCAGCATCACTTACTGTTAGTTTGTTTTAAGCTTTGCCAAGGCTCTTGAGTGAAGCCTTCCAAAGAGTTTATTTACATGTGGTGGGCAGGACTTGAAATGTTTTTTCACTAAGCTCTTCCTGATGTCTACAAATGTGGTTATTTTAATATCACACTTTTCAGACATTTTAAATGAGCTTATTATATATATATATTTTTAATAATGCATTGATGGTCAAGGCTTTTGGTTTCCTTCCTTTCATTGCATTAAAAGCTGTGCAATTAGCTGAAAAGGTAAATAAATTTAAAAATTCTAGTCTTCAATACACCCAGTATTGAAGACTCAGTGAATGACTCTCACAGGGCTATGTCTCACCTCTATTCAAGACCATGGACATATCCACTCGTTGTAATGTGTCTGTGCTTCCTCTTAGGATGGCAATACCTCGTTTTTTTTTTTTTTCCAAGGGCTATTTTGTAAGCCTAAAAAGATTGATGTAGAAATATTATAGAAAAATTACTGTGAACAAAAGCAAAATGTTAGTATTAAAATTAAGTGGCAGGTTAATTAAGTGTACACTAAATGCTTTGATGATTTGAAGCTTCTCTATCAAAATGTGCCCCTGGGATTAGCAGCACAGGCATCACCTGGGAGCTTGCTAAACACTCAGGATCCTACCCCAGATTTACAGAATTGGATTTGCATTTCAGCAGTATTCTACGGGTGTTTAATATGCACATTAAACTTTAAAAAAGCAACTTTTACACTAAAAAGCAACCCTGAGAATTGCGTATGGTGATCTCAGTTCTACAGATAAGGAATCTGAGGCTCAGAGAGGCTAACTTGTACGACTTGAGAATGTAAGCTCAGGTCTGTTTGAAGCTCACATTCGCACATTTCCACCACACTTTACTGCTTTCAGTGCACTGTAGCTAGTTTTTAAAGACAAGTGCAAAATTGTCACCTTTTTTTTCCTATTTTTACTAGGTTTTGACTATGCTGGCAACATTCTCCAGAAGGACTAACACAAATTCTGATGACAGTGAAGTCATGCATTGCTGAGGAAGACCAAGTTTGGTGGGAAGATCAATAGCATAGATTTTTTGTGGCTTTGCACAGTTCTATTTTTGAATGCTTGGAGGATCTTATTTATTAGAGCATGTTTGCAGAAACTGTCTGTAAACATCATCTTTTCTTTGTTAATATTTAACCCACCAACTCTTTCAAGCTTCCATCTTTTCCAGCCTCACAGTCCCACATGCTTTTTAATCCACTAATAGCACCAAACTGTCTCCATGGTGCAATAAAAGTCTTCTATTTTATGACTTCCTTGAATTACTACCCTAACTTATAATTTGCCAGATTTGTTTTTGCCTTCAAATCCCTTACTTCATTGTAACCACATGAAAAATGTTACACCCTGTACATTTTTCTCCCCAAAGTCTAATGCTTATTTTTAATATACTAATAGTTCTTGCCCAGAATAATTTAGTCTTGCTGCCATCCAGAATGTTTTATTCACGATTCAAAAAAACTTTTAGAAAGTTCCTCTATAAAATATTGGAAAATATTTGAAGTAGCTCTAATGACTATTGAAATTGAGTATACTTTAATTAGATTACATAATTTACAAAAATCCCCCAGTTTAGGGAAACAAGAAAAAAGTCAGATTGGCCATTTAGATGCTTTCCAGACTTACTTTTTAACGCTAACATGTTTCCAGAGGATTAATGCGCTGAGTTTCTGGAAGCCAAGGACATTTTTTTTTTGAGTGGCAACTGTAAATACCTTGATTTTTATCCGAAACAAGTGAAACAGTGTGATTTCAGTTGGAGGTAATTTTATTTTTATTGTATTTATTTAAGTGCCAGAAGGCGGGGATGGGGTTAGTTTATAGCTTCCTGTCCTAAGGAAGGGGAGATAAACTTGTAAAAACAAAAAGTATGTAAGCATCAGTCTTCTCTCTTTTATCATAGCTCGAAGGGTTGACACCAGTCTTGTGTGTGTATGTGTGTGTGTGTGCGTGTGTGTGTAATAACAGATTAAGCAGAAGGAAAGGACAGTGCAGAAGTGATAGTGATGGGCAGTTCTCCCACTCACCATGAAGACCACAATTTATATAATAATTAAAGCACTTCCCAGTGGATCTATGTGTCTAGGACATCGTGGTCTCTGAAACAGAATCTGATTAATACCTTTACATATTCCTTCTCTTGCATTGCCAACAATGCAGACTCTTCCAAAGTAGAAGAGCTGAGCAGGTAGTGAGTTGGTTTCAGGCATGTATCTCTTAGCTTGGAACTTTTGTCCAAGATGCTAGGGGACTATGCCAATTTGTACACAATTGAACCAAACACAAATGCTCTCTGGATTTCTAACTAAGAAGGTTCAGAGCATGTAAGGCAGTGAATAGACAGGGCAGGGTCAAGTACTCTTCACCACATGTAAAGCAGCTGAGTTAGGCTATTGAATATAACAATATACAGATTGAATTGCTGGAGAAAATGTGTTTTTGACCCCTTAGCTCGATATACCAAATAGGAAATACTGAGGAAAGTTGTCTCTTCTCATATCCATTATACTTCTGAAATAGTAAAGAAGACATAAAATACATTGATTTAGGAACAGAATTCCATTGACTGACCACTGTTATAATTTCAGTAGAAACCTTTTTTATTTTAGTTGATTTTACTAAATACTGATCATGCAGCTTGCATAGTTGCTGATATGTAGCAAATTCTCAGGAAAATTAGCTATCTTATTGTAAATAATAGTGATAAAAATTTAGAATTTTTCAACATAAAATTGATCCCAATTATTGAGGAAAATATTGTCACAGTCTTTTAAGTAAGTTTCTCTTATAAGCCTGATAAAACATAATTCTTTGCTGGAAAACATAGTGTGGTTTTTAAATGGAAAATATTATAATGCTTTAAGAATACTTTGTTTGTATTGTAACATTTGAGATTTGTAAAACATATTCCATTGAATTTTATTCTTTCCAGAAAAACATAAAAATATAAAATGAAACTGGGACTTTTGCTTCAAGATGAATTAGACTGTCAGAAGAACACTTCCACTGAATACTCCCAGAATATCTCTTTATAAGAGAGGTTATAAGGCATCAAAGACTTGAGTAGGCAAGATGGCAGAAAGAAGGAAAGAACAGAGAAGTGATCTTAACCTTCAGCTCTGCTTTTACATTGGAGGTGTTTGCTAATTAGCAGGTACTGGCAAATAGGCCGAAAAGGTCAACAGAGTTTTCAGCACTTTTAGGTATACCCCAAAGGGCTACACCCTACTTGTGAGAGAAAACAAATGAAAGTTTTGCAAAGACCAAAACTGGGATTCAAAGCTGAGCATAATGTCAGATTGAATTAAAGTGATATGTCTGACAGAAGCAAAAGTAAATCCTCTCTGGAGATAGAGCACATTGCCTAGATCCTCAAATAATTTCTATGATTTTTTGTACAAAATATCCTGTAGTCAAGTAAAAATTAAAATGTACTAAGAGACAAGATGAAATGACCAGAAATTATGATAAAAATGAACAATAAAAACAATCCACTAGAAGTCTAGATATTGGAGTTACTAGATGGAAATGTTAAAATAATCATAATTACAGTATTAAAAAATAGTGAGAAAAATTTTATCAGGTAATTTTTATTATAGAAAGGAATCAAATGGATATACTCTGCTCAAACAATTAAATAACTAAATTTAGAAACCTCATAGATGCTTTTAATAATAGGGCAGATAAGCTAAAGGAAAGATGAATGCACGAGAAGAGAGGTCAGTAAAATGTATTGAAAGTGAAGCACAGGGGGAAAATATGCTTATTTCTGGAAAGAAGGTAAGAGACATCGATGACATTAAAAAAAAAAACACTAAGGTATGACATATGTGTGATTAGAATACTAGAAGGAGAATAAGAAGAGAAGGAAGTAACACTATTTGAAGAGATAACAGCTGAGATAAAAGGTATAAAGAAATTTAACAAATATGATAAACCCCAGCCAGTTTGCATATAATAAAAAATGTATCTACAAAAATTAGAATAAAACTACTAAAAACCAAAGACAAAGAGAAAATCTTAAAAGTAGCTGGATGAAAAGGACAGATCAGAATTTCATGTACCAGAAACGTAAAAGTAAATTTTTATTTTTTTCCCCCTGATATCCACAGCTCTGGACTTAAGGCATCCTTCAACTTAGAAGTCAGCTCCAGAGGGAACACCAGGACATTTGCTCTAGTTTTAGCTTGAGTTGCAGAAGAGAAGGATCCTAAACCATGGAGTAGAAATAAATCCCCTGGGAGTTTTTTTTGGTTGTTTTTTGTTTTGTTTTCTTTATTCTACTCTCTTGTGTAGCTGTGATGGTGTAGTGACAGTGGCAGCAGAGGGGACCCGCAGGCACCTGAAACTCTCTGATCAGAGAAGGTGTGACCCGAGGAGGATGGGGAGAATGCCTGTTGCTTTTTTTTTCTCCTCCTCCCTTTCCATCACTTAGTTCTGGACACAGACACAGTCAAGGCAGAGTGAAGTAGCTATTGTCCAAGCCTTCCTGATGGACAACAGAAATGGAGACCTTCAGGAAGCTAAAAAGTACAGCGAAATTACAGTGAGCAGTTTAGAAAAAATGACTGCTTAATGTTACTCATGAGCTCTTGGGCTGACTCCTAAGCTGCCTATTCACAGATCTAACCCTAAACAATATATAAAAGGCTTTGAGAAAACTGTGGGATATACTGTCTCTTAGGTTCCAGACTATCCATTGGTTAGCACACACCAAACAGCACTGCAAAGTCTTTGAAAACTAAACTGACATTTTGTAATTTAAATAATAGGCTAGTTAAAATTTGTGGCCTAAACACAATTGAGTTGATTGCCTGCTAAAGGAAAAATAACAACAGTTCCCATAGGACTTTAGAAAGATCCAGATTCCCATAACTTGGTATTGAAAATATCTTGAATACATTCCAAAATTACACAGCATACAAAGAACCAGGAGAGTCTCAACTCACATGAGGAGAGGATCAACAGTTGTCAATGCAGAAACAACAAAACATTGTAAATATCAAATAAAGACTTTAAATCAAGGATTATTAAAGTGTTCCAAGAAGGGCTAACATTCTTGAAATGAATGAAAATATAGATTGTCTTAGCAAATAAGAGAAGATATAAAGAACCATACAGAACTTTTAGAACTGAACAACATAATAACCACAATAATAATAAAACAAAACCTCACTGAATGAGCCTAAAAGCAGAATGGAGATGATGGAGAGAGCCAGTGAATGTGAAGTAGATGAATGTGAACAACAGAGATAAAAAAGGTAAAACAAACAATCAGTCTCAGGGAACTGGTGGGACATCAAAAGATCTAAAATTTGTATCAAAGCAGACTTAGAAGGAGAGGAAAAGGAGTACAGTACAGAAAAACAATTCGAAGAATACTGCATCCAACAACTGCAGAATACAAAATTAAACTTTTAAAATATTAAAATAATGCAAAATATTATTTGCATTATGCTGCATTATACTACAATAGATTTATACTATTGACCATTGCAAGACGATAACAGGGGAAGCCCTACATACTTAAACAATACACTTTAAAATAAGCAGTGGGTTCAAGAGGAAATCTCAAGGACAATTTGAGAATATTTTGAACTGGCGTCTACGGTCATACCACCCTGAATGTGCCCGATCTCATCTGAAAATATTTTGAACTGAATAAAAATGAAAATACAACATATCAAATGTTGTGTATGCAATTAAAACAGTGTGTAGAAGGAAATTTATAGCACTAAATGTTTATTTATAGCATCACATTTATAGCATTAATTAGAACAGCAAATATAAACCCAAAGCAAACATAAGCCAGGAAATAATACAGATAAAAACAAAAATTGATAAATTAATATAGAAAAACAATAGAGAAAACCAATAAAACCAAAAGCTGATTCTTTGAATAAATCAATAAAATTAATAAATTGCCAGTAAAACTGACAAAAAACTGAGAAGACACAAATTATAAATATCAGAAATATTACTACATACACTAGAGATATTATAAAGATAAAAAAAGAATTTTTATGAAAGACTCTATGGATGTAAATTCAACAAGTTAGATTAAATGACTCAATTTCTTGAAAACGACAAACTACCTACCAAATAGTCCTATTCCTATAAAGAAATAGAATCTTTAGCTAAAATGCCTTCAAAAATTACGTAGATTCAAAATTCTTCATAATCTTAGATACAAAAATTTTCTTTGAGGTATTAGCAAATAAAACCTGGCATATATGTGTGTGTATGTACACATGCATAAACAAATATCACATAAGAAGTGAATGCAAAGATGATGAATACAAGAATAGTAGATTGGTGGTTACTAGAGACCAGGAAGGATGATGGCAAGGAGGGATGAGGAGAGGTTGATTGGGGGTAGAAATATACACTCAGACAGAAGAAATAAGACCTGGTGCTTGATAGATTAGTTGGGTGGGTATAGTTAACGTTAATTGATCATGCATTTTAAAATAGACAAATGAGAATAATTTGAATGTTCCTAGTGTAAAGAAACTATAAATGTTTAAGATGATGAATATCCCAATTACTCTTATTTCATTTTACGAATGTATCAAATTATCTCCTGTGCCCTGGACATATGTACCTCTAATATGTATCAATAAAAATAAATAATTAAATATATAAATATTTAAAATTAATCAATGCAATCCATCATATTAATAGTCTAACAAAAAACACAATTTTATTAGTTGACAGAAAAAAACTTTGACAAATTCAGAATGTGTGCATTGATTTTTAATAAACATACACAGTTAATTTAATGGAGAAAGGATAGCTTTTTAACAAATGTTATTGTAAAAATTGGACGTTTATATAAAAATGTTAACCTTTGACTTAAACTTCACATCTATGCTAATTAACACAAAAGAGACCAAGACCTAAAGGTAAAATATAAAACTATAAA
The DNA here is from genome assembly GCF_000001405.40 of Homo sapiens. Lineage (NCBI taxonomy): Eukaryota > Metazoa > Chordata > Mammalia > Primates > Hominidae > Homo > Homo sapiens. The sequence continues at coordinate 198,602,869 of NC_000002.12, forward strand.
ATTTTAGAAGAAAATATAGAAGAAAATACTTGGGGTTAGGAAAAATGTTCTTAGTTACGATACCAAAACCATGATACTTTAAAACAAATTGGTAAATTGAAATTTATCATAATTTTCAAAAACGCGTTGCTGAAAATACTAACAGGAGAATGAAAAGAGAAGCTACAGATTGAGAGGAAATATTTGCAAAGTACAAATCCAATAAAGCACTTGCAACCAAAATATTTTAAAAACTGTCTAACTCAACAATAAGGAACAACCCAGTTAAAAATCAGCAAAATAAGGCCGGGCGCGGTGGCTCATGCCTGTAATCTCAGCACTTCGGGAGGCTGAGGCGGGCGGATCACCTGACGTCAGGAGTTCAAGACCAGCCTGACCAACATGGAGAAACCCCGTCTCTACTAAAAATACAAAATTAGCCGGGCGTGGTGGCACATGCCTGTAATCCCAGCTACTAGGGAGGCTGAGGCAGCAGAATCGCTTGAACCTGGGAGGCGGATGTTGCGGTGAGCCAAGATCGCGCCATTGCACTCCGGCCTGGGCAACAAGAATGAAACTCCATCTCAAAAAAAAAAAAAAAAAATCAGCAAAATAGAAAGTTTACCAAAAAAGATCCGTGAATGACAAATAAATTTTAAAAAGTTAAAATCATTAGCAATTAAAACTGTTATGAGATACTGCTGTACATGTATTAAAATGGCTAAAATAAAAAATCTACTCATACCAAATGCTTCCAAGAATGTGGAGCAGGTGAAATTCTCATGCACTGCTGACAGAAATACAAATGGGACAGCTACTCTGAAAAACACTTTGTTGTTTTTTTCTAACGTTAAACATATTTTTTATCTATGTGAACCACAATCGTACTTTTATTTATTACCCAACTTACAGCCACACAAAAATTTGTTCACAAATGTTTATATGGCTCTATTCATAATCACCAAAAACTGGAAATAATCCAAATGTAGTTCAATGGTTGAGTAAAACAAAAACTAAAGTGTATCCATACAATGAATACTATTTAGCAATACAAAGGAATGGACTATTGATATACCCAACAACTTGGATTGCTCTCAAAAACATTACCCAGAGTAAGAAGAACCAGTCTCAAGAAGGTACATACTGTATAATTCCATTTAAATAACATTCCCAAGAGATAAAACTATAGGGATGGAGAACAAATCAGTGCTAAGAATGTGGAAAAACTAGAAATCTCATACACTACTGATTGAAGTATGCAAATCTGAAAAACCCTTTAATAAATACTGGAGCTAGTCCTTGATGCAACAGTTGTACTCTTAAATACATACCTTAATGTACACATTCTTAAATGTACACATTCATGCAGCAAAAAGGGATATATATACACACACATACATATATATGGTTCATAAAAGCCAACACTAGAAAAAAATGAAATATCAATTAATAGTGATATAGATAAATTAGGATGTATTCATACTAGAGAAAACTGAATGAATATGTAATAAACACTGCATGAATTCATTTCTGTAACGATTAAAAAGCCAAAAATAATGTATAGTATTAGAAGTCAGGGTAGTAGTTGCCCTTGGGGAGGAGTGGATAAAGTGTTGACTTGGAAGGGGTAGAAGTCTAGTTGGGTCCTGGTTATATTTTATTTATTAATCAGAATGATGGTTATAGGGGTGTGTTCACTGAAATTTTATTGAGTAGAAAATACATGATCTATGAAATTTTCCTGCATGTGGAAAAAATATGTATATATACATATATATTTTTCTTAACTCTTTAAAGATAACACAGTCCTTTCTTAGTAAAGTCTGCTAAATGAAACCATGAGTTGGAATTTCTTGCATGGTCAGACAACATAGCGATTCATGTCCAACAGAAGAAACATGCAAGGCACAAATATTTCAGAGGCACAATAGAAGAGATAAATGCTGACAGTCAGCAAATAATAGGTCTCCAAAAAGTTGTAGATGTCTTCAGGGTGTGAATTAAAAGAATTTTGGAGGATAAGGCAGGATAATAGGGAAAGCATAAAAGAACAAACTTTTATTGATAGGTACATAAGCACCATGCTAGATTATCTGTACTATCAAAGGCAAAATGCACTAAACAATACAGGAGATTATTTTATTTAGGCTATTGCAATAGAGAGAACATTTATGAATGAGAAACATCAAAGAAAAGGAAGGGGACTTGGGGGTTTTGTAGAGGTGGACAGACAAGGGAATCATCCCTAAGTCATGGGTGTCATGAGACAGGATAGTAAGGGATCTTAGCCAAGTCATTGAAGAAAGGTAGAAGTGGAGCTTACCTCAGAACATGCAAGAGCACCACACTCCTTTAAGATTAGACATTCCCGGCTGGGCGCGGTGTCTCACGTCTGTAATCCCAGCACTTTGGGAGGCCAAGGCGGGCGGATCACGAGTTCAGGAGATCGAGACCATCCTGGCTAACACGGTGAAACCCCGTCTCTACTGAAAATACAAAAAAATTAGCCGGGCGTGGTGGCGGGCGCCTGTAGTCCCAGCTACTCGGGAGGCTGAGGCAGGAGAACGGCATGAACCTGGGAGGCCGAGCTTGCAGTGAGCCGAGATGGCGCTACTGCACTCCAGCCTGGGCGACAGAGCGAGACTCTGTCTCAAAAAAAAAAAAAAAAAAAAAAAAGATTAGCCATTTCCTGGAACCCAAAGGAGTGGTGGTTGGTGAGATAATTTTTAAACCCTTGGTTGTTTTCTGGGAGCAAAGGACTCAGGTAAAACCTAACATTGTTAGTATATAACGTTTAGTTTGTTCTTCATATAGACCAAAAACATGGAACATTGTATTACCCCTATTTTATAGGTAAAATGGAAGCTTAGAGAAAAATAAAGTGAGTCAACATTTTGAAAAACATAAAAATTCTTAAGAATTAAATTAAATAATTCTCAGCTGCTGCATTTTAAAGCATGCAGATGGGTGACCTTTAGGGTCCAAATCTGTAATTGGAATTTCATATACAAACTGATCAAGAAAATCTGATGCAATCTTACACAGAAGCATATGGAGTTCATGAGGGGCTGTCTTTCAGCAACTCAGGTAGCTCGGGAGAGGCTTCCTACTAAAATATCAAGAATCTTGTTTTTTTCTTTGTTTTTTGTTTGTTTGTTTGTTTTTGGTTTTTTTGAGATGGAGTCTCACTCTGTCGCCCAGGCTGGAATGCAGTGGCGCGATCTCGGCTCACCGCAAGCTCCTCCTCCCGGGTTCACGCCATTCTCCTGCCTCAGCCTCCCGAGTAGCTGGGACTGCAGGCGCCCGCCACCACGCCCGGCTAATTTTTTTGTATTTTCAGTAGAGACGGGGTTTCACCGTGTTAGCCAGGATGGTCTCGATCTCCTGAACTCGTGATCTGCCCGCCTCGGCCTCCCAAAGTGCTGGGATTACAGGCGTGAGCCACCACGCCTGGCCAAGAATCTTGTTTTTTAAATCTAAAAGCTATTGTGAAATGAGCTCTGTGAAAAAGTCTTGAGGAACTAAATATACATGGACAATTAGAATTCAAACCCTATTTGCTTTGAAGCTGACCCTGACTAATGCCTGAAAACAGATAATGACTCCAAAACCTAATATGGGTTGTCTTAGAGGTAAAGATGGCCTACTCAAAGAGCATCACAGGCTTCTCTGTGGGGGTGTAGGAGGGGCAATGAATTTATCAAATACTTTGTGAGCCTGGGCTATATGTGAGATGTTTTATTAGATTTATGGAATCAAAACTTTAAAAGTTATGACCCTGACCTTGAAGATCTCCCAGTCTAGTGGTAACAAAAATAATAATATAGTGGGACTAACACAATAGTAGAAGTGTGGATATTTTGCACTGACATACCAATGGCAGATTGAAAATACCTCCAAGTCAACATTTGGAGACCTCAGTACCAAGGTGTCTAATCAGCTGTTTTTCCATACCTTACAACAGTATTTTAAAAACTGTACCATTCTCCCCAAGCCTCTTACACTATATCCTCTTCCCTCATTGAGACTATATTGCCTTAATAGCAAAATAGTAATAATAATAGTAATAATAAATGCTTTAATAATCTGCAAAGAATAGCAGAAAGTTCTGTAGAAACAATTGTGTCACTAAAGTTTGAGAACTGAATTTTTCTTGATATGATGAAGACAAAAGAGGAAAAAAGACGTGATAGATATTAAAATTCCAGTAAAGCATATGACAGAACATTTATCAAAACTTGAATGAATTAAGATGAATTCTTGGTTGATAAGTCAGCCTTGTAAATTTAAAACTCCATCTTTTTCAAAATAGTAATAATAATAATAAATACATGACAATGGCATATGAAGAAGGAATTTACAAATTTCCATTGGACTTGGGATTCAGTTCTATTTTGTTTTGCATTTATTTTAGAGCTTAAAATTGCTAGATAAAATCCAATAAACTCTATGAACACATTATTAAAATTAATAAGATGATTCAGAAAAAGACACTTGTAAATTACTTATACAATTAATTGCATGCTTTTATAACAAAAGCCAAAGTTAGGAAATGCCATTTAACTACATGCATAATAATAAAATAAAATTTTTAAAACTACAAGATCTTAGAAACAAATCTAGCAAATCTGAGCATCACTTCTAGGAAACAAATGATATAAAATTTTATGAAAATACTTTAATAAGCAACAAAATGAGAGATAAATGATAAAGATGTTTATTATCTCATTAATCTATAAATTCAATGCAATTTTAAATTATAATTCTAAACTTTATATGGAAAAGCAAGCAAGAAATGCCAAAATATTATTTGAAAGAAGAGCAAGGTAATAACATAAGATATCGAGTCTTCTAAAACCAGTCATTTAGAGAATATGGTATTTGCACACATACGGACAAGTAGAATAAAGAACTCACTCACGCACACGTGGTAACTTGACATAAGGCAAAGATGGCATTGCAGATCAGTGGAAAAATATGAACTATTTGCTAAATGGTTCTGAAACAATTAGCTATTCATGTGGAAAAAAATATGTAATGGATCCCTGCACCACACCATACAGCAAAAATAAATTCCAGCTGGATTAAAGACCTAAATGTGAAAAGCAAACTCTGAAATGTATAAATAATAAATTTGTATCCACAGGATACTATTTCTTAAGTAACCTAAAAAAAAAAACTCAAACCATAAATAAGAAGATTGATTATTTAAATGCATGAAAATTTTTTTTTAAATGTGCTCCTAAAGATATTATAACAAAGTGAGAAAAATGAGCTACAAAGGGGGATATATTGTATAATATATATCATTGTAAAGGATAAGGGACTGATGAAATGTTCCTAGAAATAGAGAAGAAAAGAAGGAGGAAGAAATAGAAGAAATAAAGGCCAAGCCAAGCCAATATAAAATGATTACAAGATATAAATTTTTCACAAAAAGGAAACTATAATGGCCAATAAATATATGGAAATATTCTTGATCTCATGAGAATCAAAGAAACATAACTAATCCCACAAGAAGAAACTCTTGCCTACATATCATATTCATCCCTGTTAAAATACATAACAATACCAGATATGAGTAAGAGTGAGGAGTGACAGAATCTTACATTCTGCTTGTGGGAATTGAAAATTCACTTTGGAGAGAAATTTGGCAATAGCTTCTGAAGATGAATATATCCTAAACCAAACAATTCCACTCTTAGAATAACACCTAGTAAAACATCCCCCTATGCAAAAGGAGAAATGTACAATTATGTACAAATCAGCAGTGTTTATAATAGAAAACCATTGGCAACAATTTAAATGTCAACAAAAGAAAAGATCAATAAATTTGTATATTGTGCAGAGGACTACAGAGCAGTAAAAAATGAATGATCTGTATCTATCCCTATCTAGCTGGACACATCTCGCAAATAATGACTCACAAACAATCTCAACAAGTAATGTTGAGGATAAATAAAAGCAAGTTATAGAATACATTATGATGTCGTCTATTTAGGATTAAAAGCATACAAAACAAAACTACATATTGCTTAAGGATAGAGGCAAATGTATAAATCATTAATAAACCCATGGACCAAAAAGCAACAAATAACGGCTGCGACCAAGGGGAAGGGTCAGGAATGAGATCTGAGAGGGTACATGGGGGGTTTACCTAAATTAGTATTGTTTTATTTATTAGGCTGGACACTCAGTAGATGGACAGGTAGATATTCACTGCACCTAAAGTTACTGTACATAGGTATAGTTTCAAACTAAGGAAGGTGATGATACAAAAGTCAAGTGTTTGAAAATATGTACCCTGTATGTAATATATATATATATATATATATATATATATATATATATATATATACCTGTATGTATATGTGAATATATGTGTATGTGTGTACATGTAAACATGTATCTACTTATGAATACTTATGTATATATACACACATACAAATACACACATGCACACACAGAACATTTGGAAAACGTTGGTAGCAACATAGAAGGGCAAATAAACAGGAAAGAATTTTGGATTTCATAGAACACTTTTCCCTTACCAAATACCATGACTGTGTTTCCAGGGAAATTTGGTGAAGTTAGACCCATCTTTCTTGTAGATCAATTGTCTGATGTTCACTGACATTCCCAGGGAAAAGCATGTGATATCTCGAGTGTAACTTCTATGAGTGGATACAACAGCTAACTTGTTTAGCTCTGTTTCCTTGAGTTTGGCAATTAGTCTGTTTTCAATGAAAATGTGCTAATTTAATAAGCTCTTGTTTCCATACTACAATGTATTCTCAAATCCCCTCCCAATTATACCACCTCTCTCACTATAATGTCACATCTCATAATAAAGTGTTAGACTTACTGGAGGGGAATGGGGATTTCTCCCTTTCAGGGATCCCTTCCAAAACTCTTTTCAGGGTCTGATTTTGGCCTCTCAATTGACCTTACTCCCAATTGGCATTCCAAATGTTCTAAATCAATGGTCTCCAGTGTTAGGGAGCATCAGAATTCTGTAGCTGGCTAGTTAAAATACATGTTACTCGGCCCAGAATTATTTCTCCTTAAGTAAGACTAGGGTGAGAACTGAGAAATTTGTATTTCTAGCAAGTTCCCAGGAGATGCTGTTGCTCCTAGAACCATGCTTTGAGAGTCATTGTTCTAGATGGTCTAGTACTTACATAAACTTTTCATAAGAGATGGTATATGAGGTTATTTTCAAAACCCTGTACCTTTAATTTTTTTTTAACTCTGTTGACCTATCATACCAAAGGGGATGCTTTCCTGAGTGTTTCTCCTTAGATCAGGATATAAGAATGTCAGAGGATTTAACAGTTATTAGTCCAGAAAATAAAGGAGAGAAACAGTAACCCAATTAGGTGTGGCAAGAGATCCTGCCCTTAGAGGAGGGACAGGTAGAAGTGGAGTCAACCAGTTCTACATAAACCCTCTGTGCAGTATTTGACACCGTCAATGGATTCTTTCATCTGAAAACATTCTTGTACTTTACACCCTCCAATTTCTGAACATCTTACCTTCCAGGTTTCATTTTTATCCCTCAATTTCTTTCATGAGCTTCTCTGACCATCCCATAAAATTGATATCCTCTATGTTTCCATCATAATTTATTTGCAAGGTGATCTTCTCTACTGTTAGGTTTTCATTTACCATTTTTGTGGAAATAACTTTTAACTCTGTCTTTGTAACCTTCTCTGTATACCCACATTTTCAAACACCTATATGGCTCAAACTGAATGTAATTAAAATTAAACTCATTATTTCTCAAATATTCCTATGACCCTGTCTACTCCCTATTCTCCCACCCAAACTCTAATTTATTTTCCTTGCATCTCTCATCTCCCATATGCTGGGAGACAGTAAGTATAGTGTTTACATGCATAGACATTGGAGAGAAACTGTTGCTTGATGTTAGGCAAATTACTTAATACCTCTTAAATGTTGATTTTCTCTTCTATAACATGGAGCTAATAATAAATCTTGCTTCATAGGTTTTTAAATGATGTATCAGCAGCATCAGGGGACTTATTATAAATGCAAATTCTAGGGCCCTATTCCAGACCTACTGTATCAGCAACTCGGGTAGGGCCTTGCAATCTGTGTTTTGACAAGCCCCCAGGTGATTCTGATGAATGCTAGAGTATGAGTACCATTGATCTGAGGGAATGATCTATCCAGGCACTTAAGCCAGAAATCTGGAAAATCTTCTTTTCTTTCCCACATGTAGCCAAATTATATTGGTCATCAAATCTCCCCAAACTCATCTAAATTTCTCATTGCATCTACTCTCCATTTCCATGTTCACTGTTGCCATAAATGCTCAAATAGATGGTTATGATTGCTTTCTGAAATCACTGCCACTGGCTTTGCCATCATCTCATTCCTTCATTACAAGGCCACGAGAGTAGGGATTTAAAGAAAAATCTAATTGTATATTTCCCTCTTTTACAATTTTTTCCTACTCCTCTATCCATTCTGGAAAGAGCCCAGACTCCTTAGCATAAAGTAAGCAGTCCTTCATGACTAGCTGGAGAATAAAATTACAGACATCTTCCTCCACTCCTGCCAAGTTCCCTCTCAGCTATTCTTTCTCCCGTCCAGACTTTCCTTGTTACAGAGCTGGTGTCTGTGAGGCTTGGTATAAAGTAGCAATTCCGGCAGAGCCCTGACTCTCATATAGGCATGTGTTATTAGTGTGGAATGAGTATAGGTTTTAAAATCTGGCACACCCAAATTCACCCATCAGTTTTCCCTTTTAATCTTTGTGTGATTATTTAATCTTCCTGTGCTTCTGTTTCCTTATCTCTAAAATGGGAAAATCAATATAACCCACTTAATTGTGTAGTCATGAATCAGATGAGTGAATGCGTGTACTACATCTACCATAATGTCTTCCTAGAGCAAGTGATCAATACGTGAAGTGTCTCTTTTCTCTTCAATCCTCATCTTTCCAGGGTCTCATGGCTCATAGAGGCTGTGTAGGTACTGCCATTGATATTGGTTTCTTCCTCTGATAATTGAGGTACAGCATGTTGGATGATAAATACTTTATTTTGTTCTTGGACACTGTTTGGCATTTGGTTCCCAGCATCCTATCCTCTTATGGCACTCTAAATGCTCAGTAAATTATCTGTTACCCATTATGTGCAGTTTTGGTGAGAAAGTAATTCCAGCTTCTGGCATCCCACTAAGAAAGCCAAGGGGGCCAGGTCCTTTTTCTCCCCACCATCTGATAGGGAGGGCTTAGATCCAGGACAGGAGGATAGTGAAACTCAGCCACTCTGAAACCTCTCCAGAGACTTTAACTCTTACAGGATATAGGCAAGAACTGGGTGCCCTTAGTCCTTCATCCCAGCAGAGGTATCCTGACTAGGATGTTTTCAACTCCACGATGTTTGCTGTGTTTCCATCCCTTGCCTAATGAATTTTCCAAGTAGGTCCCTCCAGGTTCCTGTCAATGCTGACTCCCCAGAGAGTCTTTCCATAAAACCATAGTTGGTTTCTGCTGATCACCTCCAAGAGGACTGATATGATATCCTTTTATTGATTTCTTCTTTTATCTTATTGAATTTAAAGACAAAGCCCTAAACCCTTTGTGATGAGAGAAAAGGTCATAATTTAAGAAGAGTTCATGTAAGCTCTTGTGAAAATGCCAGTGCTTTCAGCATTAGAATTGTATACACCATTTGTAGGCAGTACATGACCTCAATTCTCTTTCTAGCTCCTGTTGATTAAAATTTTTTTAAAAAAACAGATTTTCATTGGAAATGAAGAGGGAAGCATCATAACTATATTTATCACTAACAGTCCTCACTTGCCAGCGATTATCAATTAGTGAAAACAGATTTTTAGGGATTAAAACAATAACATACAGTATTTATCTTCCAAACCATACTTCTCATTAAAAAGTCTTTCCAATTGGCCTGTAAAGGGCAATGTTGTCTTTTCTCTGTGTAGAAAGAGAAGGCTTTCAAATTTGCACCATATTTGTGTCTCTCTTCATAATTACCCATGCGTAAAATGTTTCATTTCACGCTCTTTTTTTTTTTGTAGTATTCAACAACTGAAAAGAAAGATTATTTACACTCCTAATCTACAGATCTAATACTTGGTTATCAAATCTTGTTATTTTACCCCTATGATGGTTACTGGTATAGACAACTACTTGTGACTTGTTTTGTAAATGGCACTTTAGTATGAGCTTTAAAAAAACAATTTCTTTTGCAATGTTTTATAGTTCTTAAATGAACTATATTCTTTGCAGTAAGAGTGTTCATTACAACTTAAACAAAGGCGATGTAATCACTCTAATAACAAAACTATAGCTGATTTTAATATTTCAAAGGAGTACACATAATGCAACATTTTAATTATGCTTACTTTGTTCAAACTCATATTGTCCAATTCCATTCAGAGCCCTGGTCTCCAAAAATGTCAGGATAAATTTGCTTCTATTAATTTATTCAATAAATATATGTTGTATTCCTATTGTGTACCAAGCTCTGGGTTAGGTCACAGGAATCAAGACAATGGTTCCTGGGGTATGCCTTAATTTAGAATAAGGAGGGATGATTTAACTCCTTGAAGAGGTTTTATGTGTTCCCTGCTGCAGACAACAGAGATGTGGAGATGCACTGAACCTGGTCCTCAGCCCTCCTGTTTCTAATACATGCCTGGGATAGGCTCTCAGGTGTGCCTTCTCCCCTCTCCCTTCATGTATGTATGTAACAAATTTTGCTGTTAACATTGTCCAGAAATTCAAAGTGACAGACCGGAGGTACTGCAATGTGGAACTCTTAACTTTTGTAAACTGGTAAGAATAGTGGAATGGCCAAGGTCTCTAGTTAACGACTTCTCCATCTTCTCTTATAGACTCTTCTGCTTGCCCATTCAGGAATAGGATATGTAATAGACAACTAACATCTGGTCTGAATATCTATTAGGAACATATGCTTTCCTCTGCTATATTCTCATCCTAGAATAGATTAAGGGAAATCCAAACCAAATGGGGATTTGGGGAAATTTTCAAGGGTCACTTAATAAAGTAAGTTTGGTTTTCCCTTTGGAAAGAACATAGCACACTGTGGAGACAACATAGGGACCTAAGAACAGTCTTATGACATAAATAACCTGAATAAATAATCATCGTAATCATCCTCATCTTCCTCACAATTTTCAAATGGGAAATAGAAACTGTTCATTGTCACAGTTACAAATGGATATATCCTGTCAGGATTTTACTTGAAAGATGACATTTCTTGTCTGCTAAATGAAAACCAGTGGCTTTGGCTCTAGCTTTGCTTTCCCCAGTACTCCTTGTTAATAATATTCATAGTTGCTTTGGGGACTGGCTTTGTTCCTCTCCTCTACGAATTTCTTGATTTATGGTTATAAGATCTTCATGGCTAAATGACAAAGGTTTGTTTAAATAAAAGCAAGCACTAACTAATGTTCTCCACTACCAGGTATTGGGAGAGTAAAGTTCAGTTCATTATCGATTTTACAATTTGAAATTAAGACATTTGGCTTTGAGAATGTGTTTTCACATCAAAATTGTAACAATGAAATAGATATTATCCGTGATTTTAAAACTGGCTATCTCTACTCTTTCAAGAAATTAGGTCCACACAGAATTAATAGCTAAAGCAGTGAAGATGAGTTATGATAGTAACTAGAAGTACAAAAATTAATTAATATTTTATTTTCAGCATTCATACCTAATCAGGGATAATTTAAAATTTTATTCCTGAATTTAAAATGGATTAGAAACATGTTTTACTAAAATAATTACATATTAAGTCTAAATAGATCATAGGTATTAGGTAGGGGTGATGTCTAAAGACATGGTCTATAATTATTTTTTGAGTTCATACCTATGTATTCAGATTTTTGACATAGTGCAAACATCAGCACAGGGGCAGGGGAAACAATAGTTGACTCCATCTTAAATGAAAGTTTACTGGTTAAAATTAGGTTGCCTATAGCAACCAAGATGCTACTTCTGGCTTTGCATCATAGGGATAGAGCTAGCTTTGAACCCATTTCCGTTTGAGAGGCTTACATTTGTTTAATAAAGCCTTTTTCACTTTTCTTGGTGTGATCCAGGACCCTGCTAATGAGCAGCCAGTAAATAATTTATTTAACCAGCTCTCCAACGATCTTGTAGAATTTTAAGTTAAATGAAAGCTACTGGCAATATTTGCCTGTTTTTTTATTCTCTCTTCTTCTTCAGACCTACTCCTTCTCCTGCCTTCCCATTTCCATTAAATAAAACTATTCTTCTAGAAATGAATTTTTAGAAATTTGGGTTCAAGAGAAACTAGAAGAAAATTTATCTGGGAGTCTGTTGTTGTTAATGCCTAATGTGTTACTTTTAAAAAAATGATAGTAGCATTGCCTTTACAAATAAAGGATGAATAACTTCCAGTTGAGAAAATAAAGTATATTTCATCAATAGAGAAAAATCTCTAATTAAAGTACTTGGATAAATTATTTTTAAAACATCAAGTGAGGTCTTCATAAATATAGTAAGGACAGGAGAATAGGATAGTTCAATCATCTAGGGCCACTGCTGCAACTGGAAGTCAGGGGCTTCAAGTCAGGATCTGATTTCTCTAACAACTTTTTCATACATGTGAAAAACTCAAACAAATATGTGTTTGATTTGGATAAAAATAATCAAGATGTTGCCATTAACAATGGAGACAAGGAGACTACATTTTTAAAGTCATTTTTTTCTGTTTGCTTGAATAGATAAATATGAAAAATATGTCTATATCCTAGACAAATATATAAATTTTTATTTATGGCATTATGTTTTTCTTATCAGATAGCAAACAATTCAGTGGCTCACTGAATCAATGTAATATTTCAAAGATTAAAAGTAAAGTTTGAGTCTATCATGCAGAGGCATTTGACTTATATGAGTCAAAGCCAACAAGTTTTACAGCTAATAGAAACCATTTTTGATTACTGGAAAAAGTGGTTACTTTAAACAAAGAAGGTTGCTATTTTCAAACCATGGTGACCCACACATTATGGGTTTTTAAGTCAGTTAAATTGGCCATAACCAGATTTTTAAAGTTTTAATATTTAAAAGTTTTAACATTATGGAACACATTGGAATTAAAATTATTAGAATAAATTACAGTCAGTACTGGTAAGTGCTGGTTTTCAAAACTTTAGTTTCAGGGTATGTGTTATCTTCACATACTTTAAATCACAAAATGAAATATACATCTTATTGTGAACCATAATAAAATTGTTGAAATGCCATTGCACTGAGCCGTTGATGAACTTTGCCCGTCTCCCAAAACTAAAAGTGAAAGTGTTAGAAGGAACTTCAGACAGTGATTGTGGCTTAAAACCTTTCATTGAGTGAACAAAACTGTTCCAAGTAGTTTTATGAGAAAGTAAACAGAAAGAACAAGCAATAGGGAAAAGATTTCCTATTTAATAAATGGTGCTGAGACAACTGCCTAGCCATATGCGGATCGACCCCTTTCTTACACCATATGAAAAATCAACTCAAGATGGATTAAAGACTTAAGTGTAAAAACTTAAAACCCTAGAAGAAAACCTAGGCAATACTATTCAGGACATAGGGATGGACAAAGATTTTGTGACAAAAACACCAAAAGCAATTGCAACAAAGGCAAAAATGGACAAATGAAATCTAATTACACTAAAGAGCTTCTGCACAGCAAAATAAATTATCATCAGAGTAAACAGACAACATACAGAATGGGAGAAAATTTTTGCAATCTATCCATCTGACAAATGTCTAATATCCAGCATCCACAAGAAACTTAAACAAATTTACAAGAAAAAACAAACTCCATTAAAAAGTGGGCAAAGGACATGAGCAGATGCTTCTCAAAAGAAGACATAGATGCGGCCAACATATATGTGAAAAAAAGCTCAACATCACTGATCACTAAACAAATGCAAATCAAAACCACAATGAGACACCATCTCACACCAGTCAGAATGGCTACTGTTAAAAAGTCAAAAAACATTAGATGCTGGCAAGGTTGTGGAGAAAAAGGAACGCTTTTACACTGTTGGTGGGAGTGTAAACCATTATAGAAGACAGTGTGGTGATTCCTCAAAGACTTAGAGGCAAAAATACCCTTTGATCCGGCAATCCCATTACTGAATATATACCCAAAGGAATATAATTCATTCTATTATAAAGATACATGCATGCATATGTTCATTGCAGCGCTATTCTCAACAGCAAAGACATGAAATCAACCTAAATTCCCATCAATTATAGACTGGATTTAAAAAATGTGGTACATATACACCATGGAATACTATGCAGCCATAAAAGTGAATGAGATCATGTCCTTTGCAGGGACATGGATGAAGCTGGAAGCCATTATCCTCAGCAAACTAATGCAGGAACAGAAAACTGAATACGGCATGTTCTCACTTATAAGTGGGAACTGAATGATGGGAACACGTGGACACATGTGGGGAAACAACACACACTGGGGTCTGTCAGTGGGTGGAGATGGGAGGAGGGAGAGCATCAGGAAGAATAGCTAATGGATGCTGGGCTTAATCTCTAGGTGATGGAATGATCTGTGCAGCAAACCACCATGGCACCCGTTTACCTGTGTAACAAACCTGCACATCCTGCACATGTACCCCTAAACTTAAAGATAAAAGTTGTAAATCAGAAAAGTAAACGGAAAGAATCAAGATGTTTCAGTCATATCTTTAATGGTACATTGAGTTTAAGTTATCTAAATATGGAAAATGACACAGATATTGTTGCCCATTTATATAATCTAGTCTAAGCCAAAAGTTGAATTTGTTTCTGTTTTCCAGCTAAAATCAAACAACTCATAGTAGATAATACATTCTACATTTGGTAATTAACAGAGCTAACCTTTTCATGATACTAAGAATATTAAAAACCTACATAACCTTTCACTTGCTGCATGTGCTGACTTTTATTTTTCTGTAATATATCAATGAGAGGCATAGTGTTTCAGAAAAAAGAATAAGAAAAATGTCTACTGAATGTTTTGTTTCAAATTAAATACAAATGTCAAAATTATAGAAATATTTAGCTTTGTTATCCTTTGTAAAAATTTGTTTTATATATATATATATGTGGTGGGAGTGTAAATTAGTTCACATACATAAAACCTGCTTGATGTTAAACCAACTACATATTTGAGCCAGTGTCATGCATACAAAAAATTCAAAAATTTTTCTTTACTGAGTGGTTAAGGATTGTAGATATGAAGGGCTTTCCTGTAACCTTAAATTACATTTAATTTTAACCTCAATTAGGTTGATTAAATGGTCTAGTGCATAGCATGTGATCCTCAAGATTTTTGTTATACTCTTGTGATATGTGATAAATGACTCAAACTGAAATTATAACACATGTTGCTTCTATATCTACTACACTGAGCACAGTCTTTCTTGTGCCATAGAGTTTTAATTGTTTAAATAAAGACTGTCCTAGAAATCTTACTACATGTAAAATATGAGTCAGATTTCACTTCGGGAAAACACTGGAAGTGAAATGGAAAACATTCAGGTTATTTTTATAAAATAAAAAATAGTGTACTTTTGCTTAAAATGTGATGTCTGAAAATAAATGTATAGCTTTTAGCTTTATTATTAGTTTTGAGCTAGTTACATCCTAAATTATGTACCTGAAATTCATAAAAAGTGACATTTAGACTAATATATAATTGGTGTAAATAGCAGAACAGGTTGACAACTAACCAGTGTTCTTCAACAGCATGCAGTCACTACATGAAACAGTCATTCTTAACCTTGTCTTTGCAGGCTTTGACTAAAATAATCTATTAAAATACATATTGGTTTGGACTTTTAGGAAGGAACAGTATCTTGTAAACTCTGTCTAGGGTGTATCCCCAAAATGTTGGAATACCCACTTACAAAGAAGATAAAACCACATACCTAATAGGTGAAACTCCCTGTGAGTTTAATGAAAATAAAATTTGGTGTAAATATAGAAAAATAGGAAGAGCATTAGAATTTTTAGAGAAATCTATGTACTCCATTGAGATGTAATCATGTATTCTCACATATCCATTCTCTTATTTTTATTAAGGGGGTCAGTGCTTTCCAAGGTTAAAAGTACAGACTCCTGAGTTACAATGATTGGGGTGTAACCTTAGTTTTTCCGCTGTTAAACTGTGTCATCTGAGACAATTTTACCCTTTCTTATCCTTATTTTCCTCATCTGCACTATGAGGATAATATAAGATCTACCCCAAAGGGCTATTTTAGGAATTTAATGAGATAATATTTATAAAGTATTGCAAAGGTTTAGCATAGTGCCTGGCTCATACCGACATTGATACAGGCTAAATATCTGTTATCTGAAATGCTTGGGATCAGAAGTGTTTCATATTTTTTCAGATTTTGAAATATTTTCATATACATAATAATATATCTCAGGGATGGGACCCAAATCTAAACATGACATTCTATTATGTCTCATGTATACCTCTTATACATAGCCTGAAAGTAATTTTATATATTATTTAAAATAATTTTGTACATGAAACAAAGTTTTGACTGTGTTTCTCACAGGAGGTCAGGTGTGGAAGTTTTCACTTGTGGCATCATGTGCACAATCCAAAAAGTTTTGGATTTTGAAGCATTTTGGATTTTGAATTTTTGGATTAGGGATGCTCAACTTGTATATGTTTTATGACTAAATAATGATAAGAAGTATTGACTGTGGAAAATGAAGATATACATAAAGATGAAAATAAAAATGCATACATTCATAATTCAAATATTCTGGAATAACAATGCTGCATTTCCTTCCAGTATTTTATATACATATGTTATATATCTGTGTGTAGGTGAATTTTCATATTTAATTTTATATATATTGGGAATTGAATAGTATATATGATTTTATGAGTAGCTTTTTGGTATTGTCTTGTTTGATACAGAGTTTAAAGGGGATTCTTTATGCTAGCAGGCAATCAAGAATGCTTTTCAGATTAGACTTAAAAAATTGGCCAGTTGCGTCTGTCATGTGTGTGTGTTAATGGGTCCTTATTGTTGGACGGGATCCTGAAGCACAGGGAATATGCCTATTAACTCCATGAAAGATAAAAACATATCTTGAATTTACCTCAATCAAATAAAAAATGATAATGTCATATGATTATACAATAGTGCATATATGCATGTGTGTGTACATGTACGTAAAGACACAGACACAAACACACATAGTTCTTGACCTCATCTCATGATGCATGAATACTGATTTCTAGTTTTGGCCTATACATCAACAGAGTTTCCAATACCACTCTTCTACCACTATTTTGTGTTTGCTCTATTCTGCATTTTTAAACTTAGTTTAATCCAGTGACTTTCTTTCACTTTAATCTACTTTATAGGTGTTTAATCTTTCTATAGGCCACTCTCAAGCACCACTTCACCCAAGTGATCTCTCCACTCCCTCTCTCTCTTTCTCTTTTTCTATTCTCCTTGACGATATCTACTCTTCTGTCACCATTGGAGTATCTTCCTCATTTTTATATACTTATATAAGACAATTTTCCTACAAAAACCAGATCAATTTCTGGATCTCCTGTGAAATCTCTCTCTCTCTCTCTCTGTCTCTCTCTCTCACCCTTAATGATAATCTTCTTCATTAAACTCCAGTATAAACTACTGTATACACCACTCACCCTGGGTGACAGAGCAAGACCCTGTCTCAACAAAAGAAGAAGAGGTGACAGAGTGAGACCCTGTCGAAGAAGAAGATGAAGAAGAAGAAGAAGAAGAAGAAGAAGAAGAAGAAGAAGAAGAAGAAGAAGAAGAAGAAGAAGAAGAAGAAGAACTCACAAATAGATTATTTCCAAGTTAAAGGCAAAATTACAACCTAATTTCTTCTATCTCTTTTATAATGTTTGCATTAGTCCGTTTTCATGCTGCTGATAAAGACATACCTGAGAGTGGGCAATTTACAAAAGAAAGAGGTTTAACTGGACTTAAAGTTCCATGTGGCTTGGAAGGCCTCACAATCATGGTGGAAGGCAAGGAGGAGCAAGTCACATCTTACATGAATGGCAGCAGGCAAAGAGAGAACTTGTGCAGGCAAACTCCCGTTTTTAAAACCATCAGATCTCCTGAGACTCATTCACTATCACCAGAACAGTGCAGGAAAGACCCAACCCCATAATTCAGTCACCTCTCACTGAGTTCTTCCCACAACGCATGGGAATTGGGGGAGTTACAATTCAAGATGAGATTTGGGTGGGGTAAGGACACAGCCAAACCATATCAATGTTCTTCACACATATGGAAGAACATGGATTCATGAAAGGGATAAAATAATAGAATCATTATATCTCCTGTGAATCTACCAGATTTAGTCTTTGTTTGCTTGTAAATTACAGGATGCCAAAGGGCCAGAGCATTTGAAAAGGAGATTCTAATACTAGCAGTTAGTATTGTTATTACTTTTTTTCCTTACATTTCCTGTCTCCCATACTTCCTTATACACTACAATAATAGGAACACAGTCTCCTTCATGTTAGATGTTTAAAACGTTTACAATAATATTTTATTCAGCATTCTTATTTTATTTTTGTTTTAGGTACCTAGTAGGAGTATATATTTATGGGGTAGGTGAGAGATGTTTTGATATAGGCATGCAATGTGAAATAAGCACATCATGGAGAATGGGTTATCCATCTCCTCAAACATTTATCCTTTGAGTTACAAACAATCCAATTACACTCTTTATTTTTAAATGTACAATGAAGTTATTATTGACTTTAGTCACCCTATTGTACTATCAAATAGTAGGTCTTATTCATTCTTTTTGTTTTGTTTTGTACCTATTAACCATCCCCATCTGCCCCTGAGCCTCCAGTTTATAACAATATTGATATAATAGTGCATGGCCTAATTTGACATGAACATTTTGCCACAGTTTTGAGAACTGATGCTAAATACTCCAGATATTTAATGGAAAAATGAGTACAGCAGCAATGTGTGCACATATCAATGTTCTAGTGATAATGACCCTGATAAAACATTTCAAGCTAGGTATAAAATTACATTTATATGCTTAGAACAGTTTCTCAACTGGGGGCAATTTTGCCCCTATGTGAGTATTTAGCAATGTCTCCAGACATTTTTGGGTGACACAACTAGGGAACTGCTACCAGCATCTAGTGGGGAGGAACAAGGGATGGTGCTGAACATTCGAGATGCACAGGACGACCCCCACAGCAAAGAATTATGTGGCCCAGATGTGAATGGTGCTGAGGTTGAGACACACTGGTTTACCGTTTCTAATGGAAGTGTAATTGTTTTGGTGGGTTCTTCATAATTGGAGAATAGGCCTCTCTAATTTTGGGAATAGAGCTTACTCAATGTCCTTCAGGGTAAGATACTAGAATAAAAACTGCTCCAGGAACTAGATAAATATCATATTTCTATAGAAGTTTACAAAACACTCTCACCAACCTGTTGGATACACAATAGGAGAGCTGCCACTCTCTCCATAAATATTCATCACGATGGAAAACTTCCCACATCCATGCACTCCTATAACCTTAAATGGCAAACGCATACTTCATGAGGATGTGAAGAAAAAAGCAAATAAAGCCCTCTATTGGCATCCTATTGAATGTTTGATTGAAAATTCTAGACCAGGGTTCTTCAGTTCAGGCTGTTCATTAGGATTGTGCGAACAAACTTTAAAAATTGTGATGCTCAGGCCCTTGTACTCCAATACAATTAACTGAGAAATTGTGATGACGGGCTTCAGGCATCACCATTTTGTAAAAGCTCCCAGGTAATTCTCAGGTATGATAAAGACCGAGAACTATTGTTCTAGCCTTTATCAATAATGTTGCGCCTAGGGAAAAAAAAAATAGACTGACCTGGAATATTTACATATAGTGTCAAAGAAGTTATACAAATCATTTAATGAGTTAAATGCTGCAAAATTCAAGACAGAGATTCTAGATGTCATTTGTTAATATAAAGGTGAGCACTGAGTGACCCTAAGGATTTTGTAGACAGTTGTTTAAAAGTTGGCAAATAGCTGGGAGGGGGTAGCTAGTTACTCTAATTCATGCTGATCTTCATATATTAAAATAAATGAAAGCAGAATAGTTTTTTTACTGTATTTCAAGGGCAAAACAAGGTTTTGATGAGAATGGAATTATAAGACACATAATGCGACAAGAAGTAAAATTTGAATTCATCCCTAAAAATTTCTGCAAGAAGGGGAAATGGTGTAAACAAGCCATCTGTGTTGTGATGTGAAACACATTCCCTTGTGGTGGTCCTTGTGGGGTGCCTTTATTATCGTCAAAAAAAAAAAAGGAGAGGAACTTGCTGCAGGACCAAAGGCAGCAGGAATTCTGATCAACTTGTTTTCTAAATATGCACAAAATCATTCCTGCAAGGAGATGAGACAGTCAAAAGTCAGGAAATGGATGAATTAGTATAAATCTAAGAATTAAATAAAATACAGTATTGGCAAAGCAGAGCTTTGATGCTGCTCTACATAAACACAAAAATGAACCGTTAAATTTAGAAGTGAACAGATTCAAATGCAGTTTGTCCTTTTTCTATCTATAGTATGAATCCTTCTGATCATGTACTGTACATTTGATGGAAGCATGTGGCTGTGGCAAATGTCCCCCAGGAACAGATCCAAATCAGAAGTTCAATTTGCTTCAAGATCTTTAAAATGTTCCAGGGGTGCAAAGTGGGTTGAGTTCACTCAAATTCTTATATTATCTTTTAAAACAATGAAATACACAACAGAGGGTAGTGGAGACATGAAACTTGAAAAAGCACAAGCTTGTTTTAAAGAAAACAAACACTTTATCTTAATTTTCCATGAGAGACAAATTAATAGAATTTTTTAAAAAAATCATTATCTGACCTATTTTCTAGACCTGTAATAATTCCTTTTTCTATTATTAATATTTTTTACTTTTTCAATCTCTGAGGTATATACGGTCCTTGGGTTTTAAGGCATGAACTCCAGCTCCAATTCCTATTAGCCATGGGATTCAGGAAGCTGAGTAACCTCCTGGATCCTCAATTATGTCTTCAGTAAAGTGTAGATAATAATATCTCCCTTAGTAGTTAGTTATGAGGATTAATTTTTAGGATGGTGAAATTGTGGCATACCCATAAAAGAGAATACTACTCAGCAATAAAAACGAAATATTCAAAACATGAATAAACCTGAAAAGTATTACGCTAAGTGAAGGCAGCCAGGCTCAAAAGGCTGTATATGATATGATTCCATTTATATTTCACTTTGTAAATGGCAAAGCTGTAGGGACAGGAAAGATCAGTGGATGTCAGAGGTGTGGGGTGTAGATGGAAACTTACTGCAAAGAAAAAGGAGAGAATTTTTGGGGATGATGAAAATATTCTGTATCTTGACTATAGTGGTATTTACATGACTATATTTCTGTTGATTCATAGAATAGTGTAACTGTTTCATGAATGGGTGAGTTTTGATTTGTAAATTATACATCAATAAACTTACAATCCCACTCCAAAGAGTAATGCATGAAAAGTTTAAAAACAAAAATAAATGTTAAAAAAATGGCGCATGGAAGTGCCTGGTGTGTTACCTATAAACATCCTTTTGTCATCTCTTCTCCTTTGTTTCACAGCCAAATATTTTTAATGCAGAGTCTACCTTTGAATACAATTTTTTATCATGTGTTTTCTCCTTTACCTCCCATAAACTGGTTTCTGGCCTTTCACAAAACCCCAGTGACCCTTTATTGTCTTAAAAAAATATTATTATTATTATTATTATTGCTTTTTATTTTATTTTATTTTTGACACAGAGTCTCGCTCTTGTCATCCAGGCTGGAGTGCAGTGGCGCAATCTCAGCTCACTGCAAGCTCCGCCTCCCAGGTTCACGTCTTTCTCCTGCCTCAGCCTCCCGAGTAGCTGGGACTACAGGCGTCTGCCACGACGCCTGGCTAATTTTTTGTAGTTTTAGTAAAGACGGGGTTTCACAGTGTTAGCCAGGATGGTCTTGATCTCCTGACCTCATGATCCACCCGCCTCGGCCTCGTAAAGTGCTGGGATTACAGGTGTGAACCACCGCGCCCGGCCAAAAATTATTATTATACTTTAAGTTCTGGGACATATGTGCCGAACATTAAGGTTTGTTACACAGGTATACACGTGCCATGGTGGTTTGCTGCACCCATCAACCCGTCATCTACATTAGGTATTTCTTCTAATGCTATCCCTCCCCTACCACCACCCCCAACCCCCTGACATTCCCTGGTGTGTGACGTTCCCCTCCCTGTCTCCATGTGTTCTCATTGTTCACCTCCCACTTATGAGTGAGAACATGCAGTTTGGTTTTCTGTTCCTGTGTTAGTTTGCTGAGAATGATGGTTTCCAGCTTCATCCATGTCCCTGCAAAGGACGTGAACTCATCCTTTTTATGGCTGCATAGTGTTCCATGATGTATATGTGCCACATTTTCTCAAATACGGTATGTTCTTCGGTCTCTCTGACGATTCAAATTTTGTCAAAGGAACCTTTTGCTTTCTGGACTTTGAGGACCCAGGGACTCTTCACAGGCTCCTTTTCATTTTCTGCCTATAAATATAGTTAATTCCTCAAAGTTGTATATCCAGTATATTTCTTTTTCATTGTTTCTATTCATATGGGCCCTCCTACAATTTCAACCGTGAATGACTTTCAAAGACTAGACTTTTAAATATCTCCCCAAAGACCAAAATCAGCTTCATATTTTCATTTGCCTGTTGGGTAGCTCATGTTCCAAAAATAATAGGTTCTTTCCCAAATAAAAAATGTCCTGGAATTGTTAATGGAGTACATTCTTAATGAATTTATGTGCCACGATGATCATTTGTTTGTCATGATATACTGGTACTGTGAGTGTGTCTAAATATCTTGTTTCTAGAGTTTCCGTTCTGTTCCAACGACATGTCATCTTCTGAGCAAATAGTTCAATGTTCTTCACTATGGTGATATTTTAATATATTTTTATTTCTGATCATGCAAGTTTCAATAATTACTCGTTCTTCATTTCTTCTTCTGACTAATTTTGCCAGTGTTTCCTCCCAGATAAAAATTAGAGTTTTGTGAGATTTATCTGGAAGAGATTATGATTGCTACTTTTATAAATTAATTTTTATAAATCAATTTTAGAGCAATTAACATCTTGGTAATATTGCCTTTCTTTCTGGTAAACTATTTTGTGTCTATATTAATTTAAGTCTTAATTTAGGTTTTTTAGTAAAGTTGTATACTTTTCTTCTTAAGTCCTGTTCATTTTTTTGGCTAAATATCCTAATATTTTATGTTTTGCTGCTATTATAAATGGAATAGCTACTCGCTATATATTGACCTAATTATAGCTGCTATGTAAGAAAAATTTTCTTATTTCAATAATATTTTAACTGATTCTGTTAGTTTTTTCTAATTATACAATCACATAATTTTTAAAGACCAATAATTTTCTCTATTTCCAATAAATTAGCCTTATTTCTTTTTTCTAGACTTTTTGATTTGATCAGAACTTCCAAAACAATGTTAAATAACAGTGGTGCTAGAACTGAGTTTATCTTAGCCAGGGTTTTTAATGATAGTGCCTCTAGTAGTTATACATTTGAGATGTTTAAAAAATCTTAAGGAATTATCTATTGAATTCTAGTTTACATGATTTTTTTCTAATGAGGTATTTTTTTTCCTTTATACCAGTAACTTTGGAGATACATATCCCTCTTTTTTCCCACCTTTCGAGTGGTGAAAAAAATGTTTACACGTGTATAAGGGAGGAAGTAGAAAAAACTCATCGAAATATTATTTATTATTGAAGTCCGTAGAGCTCATAATATTACAATAAGGGGGCAAAATTCATCAGAGTACAAAAATGTTCACTAGCAAACTGAACACTTTTAAACTTAGTCTCTTCCTCATAAAGATATCACATTATACTATTAAATTATTCATTGATTTCAGATGGTAAGCATCAGATAATGCAAATCAATTGTAAACTGAAATGGCAAATATAAATATACACGATTTCATAAAATTTAAAAAAAATTGGAAATTGCTAGGATCATACTCAAATCCATTGATATAAGAAGGTCTGAGAGATTTAAAACAATTAGTATTTGAAGAAGAAAACATCAAAAAGTTTGATGACATTAAATGCATTTAATACTTTGACTTCAGTGGACTTTGAGAATGCTTTGACTTTCAATGGTTCAAAAGGCCCTTGGAAAATGAGTTGAGACCTCTAGAAATTTTGCCAGAAGGATCTTTTTATGATAATTTATGAAAATGTGATCTTATAATTTTATTAGAGAACTATTTTTTAAAAGATTTATTACTTGATTCATCTTTATTTTATTATAGAAATTGGTTCATAGTTTCAATTCCAAGTTACATATTGTTAGATGAAAACAAATACAATTCACAAATTCATTTTTATTTTAAGGTTGATTGTCAATAAAATGTTTTTTGTTTCTAAAAACTACTAACTACGAGAATATGGTTCCAGTTTTAAGTGAATTTACTTCTAAAGATCAGTTCCTATTGTACTGAGACAATAAAGACCTCCTGGACACTAATTAATTTTCTAATATTGAGCAATCCATGTATCACTGGAAAGAAGCCTCCTTGTTCTTGGTGTATTATTCTCTTAACATTCCTTAGGATACTAGTGGTTAGAATTTTTTTAAAAATTATTTTAGTTGTTATGATATGCATTACTCTTGGATTGAAAAAAGCATAATTTTTTTAAGATCTAATGGTATTTTATATAAAATATTTTTTTTTTACTTATAAATGAAATTGGCCTGTAGTTTATATTTATGTGGTATCTTTGGCAGGTTTTGGTATCAAGATTGTACTGTCTTTGTCAATTGAGAAACTGTAAACATTAGGAATATTTAAACAGTACAAAAATTATCATTTGTATAAAAATTAGAAACAATATCTTCATAAAAATCCCTAGAATTATGACCTGATATTTAATAGTAATTCTTTGATACTTATAATTTTTCATGATTATTACATTTTTTAAATGTCTGTTTCCTCAAGTTAATTTTGAAAATTCCTATTTTATTAAAATTTTGTTTCATGGATATATACAGTATTCTATTGAGTTTCCAAAAATACATATCAGTAGTAAACTCTCTTGTCTCTAATTTTGTGTAATTGTGCTTTCTAAAATTTTGTATCGCTAGACATACCAATATTTTGTTTCTTTGTGCTCATATAAGCTGTTGAATATATTAGACATACGGTTTATATATTTCCTACTTTATGCAACAACTTTACATAGACTTCCTTTCAAAAATACTTTTTAGTATTCCTATTTAGACTTGTATTATATTCACAATGATTTTGGTTTATTTCTCTGCTTAATTGACTTTAGTGTTCACGAAATCCTCTAAGAATACTATATTATTATTAAACCTTTAATTTTCCTTTACTTCTCAGTCTACTGAAATGAATCTTAAATTTTTGCTTCAATTAGAAGATATGAGTGTTAAACTTCTTAAGACTTTATGTTATCTTAGATTATCTTTATTTTGCTTTCACAGATTAAATACAGATTTATAATATGGATTAAATCTAAATGTATAATACAATTCCCTTTGGTCACTATTTTCCCCCACAAAACTCTGTTTTCTTTCATTTAGTGTTACAGAGGATTCTGAAAATAACTTGATTTCATTTCTCTAGTAGGCAAACACTTTTTGTTTTGTTTTGTTTTTGTCTTCTTCCTGGATTCTTGTATCTCTTTTTGAATTCAGTTTTTATAACACCACCACCACCACAACACACTAACATGATCTAGCTTGCAGTGCAGGGGTGAGGTATCTACTTACTTTAACTTATCTTGTTGGAAAGTGAAGCCTGTCATTCAAAAAGAATGTACAGGCAAGGACATTTTTTTTCCTGTTAAAACACATATTCTTGCTTCCATTTGTTCTTTACTCTGTGCGTTGGCTTGTATCAATCATCATTTGGATTGCACATTTTCATCACTTAGTCCTTTCCTTTATATTCCCTCTGGTTCTATACCACGGCTACTGAGATCTCTGGCTGGGAGGAGAGAGAGTACTCTCTTCACCCTGTAGTCTGGAACTGTTACAAATTCCCTAGGCTCCAAATGCAACTGCCTAACAATTCTTCTGTTTTCTGGCCAGCTTTGTCCCTTATTTCCCTTGATGTACTTTCCCAGGGAGGAACTTTCCTCCTAGGTCCCACAGGCAATACAAACCATCCAATCAAATTTCTGACTTAAATAGGACAACCTGACTTACATTTGTCTTCATTCTTGCTTCTTCCCCTCTTTACAGTGGAGTTCTCCATTCCCTTGGATGCAAACGTTCCTCTGATCTCTTCTCACTCAACAGACTCTTCCTTTCTGATATCGAGCAGCACAGCACCTTCACTTATGGTCTGTGTACTGGAGATTATGAATCCGAAGTCTTAAGCTGAGTCTCTCCAAAGATTCAGACTCACATCTCCAGATACCTATTAGACATTTTCTCTCAAACATTTCACAGAAAATTCATATTTTCATGTCATAATTTTAACTCGTCATCCCCTCACTTCTCATCTGGTCTATATTTGTTTCCTCCCAGAGTAGATGGCATCGCCACCACTAAGTCACCCTAGCCAGGAAAACCCAAGATGCCCTTGATTCATACATCTTCCTCATCCTGTATTTTATACAATTATCAAATATTTTTGCCTGCACCTCTTAATGGTGAATAAATTCCGTCCACTTTCTCCATTTCTATACTTTCTTTAGGCATCAGTTCAGGCCATTGTCTTTCCTGATTATGACAATTCCTTTTTACATGGTCACTTTGTATCTATCTTACCTACCTCTAATTCTCCACACTGCAGCAGAATGGTGCCTCTAATGTCCCTAATCATTAAAATTATATTAAAATTATATTTAAAAAACTCCCCTAAACAAGCACTTGTAGCTGTATATTGCCCGCAGGATAAAGTCTTCGCTCCTGATGAGACTCACAGGCTCCTGGCCCCTGTTTCCTTCACTACCCCACCTCTTGCCATGCCAGTCAGTTCCTCCCGCCAGTGTCACTGGTCCATTCACTCTGTATAACCTGTGGTGCAGCCAGATTGAACTGCTGGAGCCTCATGCTTCCCTCCAATCACTGTCCTCTTAGACATTTATACTCTTTTGCCATTTACCAAAGTAACCCCAACTTTCAACTAGATGTCACTTTATCCAGGACCTCATCTCTGAGCAAACCATCAATCCTCACCAAACTGAATTAAGTGGTCCTTCTGCGTTTCTGTAACACTCTATAACTCCCTTTTTGTAAAATGTACTACAAGATATTACACCTTCCTGTTTATTTGGCCATATTTCTACCAAGACTGAATCTTTACAAAGGGAGAAGTTAGGTATGTCTTATTTTTAAAAATTATAGATCCCAGAGACCATCAGTGCCTGGACATGTCAGGCACATAGGAAGTATTCGCTGAATTGGTTAAGTGACTCTAAACTGTTTTACTATTTTCCAAACAGACACTAATTCCCCATGTCTTCAGAATGTTGTTTTCTTTCTCCTGTTCTGCAGTATGTTTTTCATACAATGCATTCTTTTCTCTTTATGAATCTACAAATGGGGTGGGTCATAGGCAGATGCATGTTAATACAGAACACGTGGCTGTCTCTTGCCTAACCCACTGTGTGCTAGGATGACCAGCTCTGTATCTGAAGAGAAGGCTGCTATAAACTGATCCTAGCACAACTCTAGGCATCTTTCTGGGATTCTTGCATGATTCTGATTAATCGAGGTGGGATCTTCTTTTACTCTCCCTACCCTGTTATCTGAGACTTTGAGCCAGTGATTACAGAACCTTACTTGTGGTGACCACAGCTCCCATCAGACAGCCTGCCACTGTTCTCTGCCCACTCTTATCTTTTGTGGCCTTGTTTCCTGGTGGTTCTTATCCCTTGAAGGATATAGAAAAAAATGGGAGAGTTGAAAGGAAGACACATGTGGGCTGAAAACCTCGACTTTCACATGTTTGACAGAAACATGTCTGTAGAATGCTTGAAAATTTAATAAGAACATAGGCCTCTGAATCAAAAAGGCAGAGACTATCTTGGTGATGGTGTTTGTTGGGGATGATCAGATCTCTGCCTCTTTCTTCAGGTAAATTTTGTTTCTAAAGCAAAGCTAAATATATTACAAAAATAAATATGGACAATTTACTCCCCCTCAATCCAACTGCTTTAGGGTTGTATTTTGCTGAAATTCATGCTTGATTCTGACATTCAGTTTCCTGCCAGCATTCATTTTCAGTACTATGGGAATTTTATCTTTGCTCTCTGGTCTTTATTATTTAATTTTGAAATTGGCGGCTCCTAGAGAGAATTATTTTTTTAAGCTGAAAGACTGCTTTTTATTTCTGTATGTCAAAACAGCATATTTCCTTAGAATATTGGAAGGTAACAACTGTAGTTAATAACCTAAATTTGTTAATATGGGGAGCATGAATAATTTTGCTATGCCAAGTCACTGCAAGTCTAGTGAATGATCAATACTCAAGGCAGTGTTGCTCTGCTTTCATACTCCAGCCTCCAAAATCAGGTCATTACTGGGCATTTGTTGCCTAACTGAGCTGAGCACTGTTCCAAAGCTACACTTCTCAGCAGCACACTGTTTTTCCCTTTGGTATCAGATTAAGAGCAAAAATAGTAGTAGTAATTCACTCGGCTTTTAAGGATGAGACAGCTACTGGATAACTTAGATATTATTTTCTTATGGAAATAGACACTTATGAGTCAGTTTTGTTTTTCCTGCCCGCTATGTTTGTCTCCAACCCACCATCCATCGATTTACTGTTTTAAACACATAAGATACCTCGCACAAGAATTATTCTGATGAAGAAACTTGCTTTCCAATAGAAAATAAAGGCAATTAATCAATGTCCATGAGATTTACTGCATTTATGTACCCTACCTTCCAAAACAGGTGACCTTATAGGTTAGTAAAATGGCCATTCAAGACTGCGTTAAGGTGTCAGATGAACTCTTACTCTGCCAAGTTAAAACACTAGCCTGCAAGATTCTGCGTATCCTCTGAACCAATTGTATAAGCAGAACTCACAGAAGTTGCTGTTTCTCCCCAAACTCCAAAGGAAACCCCAAACACTCACTCTGCCAAGTTAAAACACTAGTCAGCAAGATTCTGTGTACTCTCTGAACTAATGTATAATCAGAACTCATAGAAGTTGCTGTTTCTCCCCAAACTCCAAAGGAATGGCAGTGGGGTGGCACCTCTCATAATTAAAACTGGTTACCCATTGGGAAAATGTTTGCTTCTTCACTCTGTAATTCTGAACTCTGCTGTTTAGAGATTTCAGTATCTAAAGTAATAATGCTTCCAATAGGAGGCATAAAAATGGTTCTATTGAATTGGAAATGAATTAGCCTTTTTGGAATCCTCATGTCAGAAAATATATGGAAGAGACATACACTAGAAACAAACAAACAAACAACAACAAAACAGGTAATCTCATATGATGCTTCTTTGGTCCAATGGTTAAATTTAATAGAACCCTATATAAATAGGAACATTAAGATACAGATTTCTCAAGAATAAAGCTTTGGGTTATTCCGTTGAATAAAGAACCCCAACTGAGAGGCAAGTTCAATGTAAAAGAAACATGGAATAGTTAATAGCAGAAACTCATAAATACTGTAGATATTGTAGTGACCACCTGATGAATCAAATACTATAACTTTTATCTTCTTTTTCCACCTTGCTGTGTTATGTATGTATTTTAATTATTTTTTTATTTCTCTATATCCCACTATTAATGTTTTAAGGGAATCAATAATAAAGAATTCTACAGTTTAATACCATGAGTGCCAGAATAAAGCCAGACCTCTATATCTGCGGGTACTGCATCAGCAGATTCAGCTAACAGTGGATAAAAAATATCTGGTTAAAAAGCAATACAAAAGAACAATAAACAATTTAAAACATGCAGATTTTAAAAATGCAGTATAAACAACTGTTTATATAGCATTTACATTGTATTAGGTATTGTAAGTAACATAGAGATTATTTAAAGTATATGGGAGGATGTGTGTAGATTATATGCAAACACTATGCCATTTCATATGAGACGTGCACCTGTAGATTTTGTTATCTGAGGGGGTCCTGGAATCAATGCTTAATGGATACCAAGGGATGCGTGTATATACTAGGGATTGAATGGACATTATCCTAAAGTCCCATGCTTCAGCAAGAGAAATTATCTGATGGAACTTTGGTTAGTCTCCCCTAAACAATAAGTGACTGTTTTAAATTATATGAAAGAGCAGTTGCATTATATTTTTTGAACTGTAAGCATGAAAAGAAGGGTGCGTATAAATATAAGGGAGCCAGAGAGGTGGGGCTTAGTGAAATTTGTCCAACTTTGACAATTAAGAAATTAAATACATTTCTTTGTTGAGAAAATTCCAGAATCAGTGAAAGAAAGAGCTCCACATTCCATCATGAAAACAGAATTAAAGCATTTGTTCTCCTTGCTTTTAGTGAGGTAGGACATAGATATTTGATTTAAGCTTGCCCAATCAGTACTTTGAAACTTTAAGAATGAGAAAATTCCAAAACAAACAAATAGTGGCTATAGTGGCAAGGAAGTGAAGGGACTGGTAGCACAGCAGATACCTACTTACTGCACCGGTGGTCAATGGTGGGTGATACAGTAGTTGTATTTCCTGCTGCATCATCTTAACTAGGAAGTTTCTATGGCTATTCTTGCTGTCTACCTCTCTTGGTTCTCCAGTTTTTTGGATTTTGTTTGTTTGTTGTGTTTCTGTTTTTTAGTCTGGTTCTCCAATGTTCTTGTTGATTCAGAAAGCTACCTGACATCTTTCCAATTAATTCTTTATTCTACATAAATATGGCAGAGCTGATGATCTCTATTGTTTGCAGCAGAAAACGCAAATTGGTACAATTCTCAGCACAGTCCCTGGAGAGGAATAGAAAAGGGCTCCAGTTCCAGCGAGCTGGCTGAGAGCAGCCAGCTGGAACAGGGGATCTGTGTTTGTGGCCACAGTGCCTGACATAAAAATGCCTGTTACTTGAAGAAAAAAAACCCTCTGGTGTTCCTCCATTTTTATTTTTATTTTTTTACATTATTGAAGAGGGAACATTTTAATTCTCTCCACTGTGAACTCTTTCCAAAGGTTTTGCTTTCTTTAACTCTTTGTAAAAATTAACACTGGTGGGAGGCTGAGGCAGGTGGATCACGAGGTCAGAAGTTCAAGACCAGCCTCGCCAACATGGTGAAACCCCATCTCTACTTAAAATACAAAAGTTAGCCGGGCATGGTGGTGCACACCTGTAATCCCAGCTACTCAGGAGGCTGAGGCAGAAGAATCACTTGAACCTGAGAGGCAGAAGTTGCAGTGAGCCGAGATTGTGCCACTGCACTCCAGCCTGGGCAATAAAGTGAGATTCTGTCTCAAAACAAACAAACAAACAAACAAACAAACAAATTAACACTCATTTCACCTTGGTGAAGAACTTGTGTATATAAGCCTTAATTGCAAAATAAAATCCACTTTTATGAAAGGACTTATGAGATGGTTATAACCTTGATTTTCAAAAAGAGGAGACTTGGCTCACTGTTTCTGTAAAAACATAAACTGGTAAATCACTACACAATCAGGTAACTCACCTCCCATATCTGTTAGACCCTGAACAAAGCAGATGGTGTAGTATTTCAGAAATAGTTTGAATTTTTGACTAAAGAAAATCATAACCTGCCTATCTTGAAAATATACAGCAAACTTCCAAGAGAAGGAAATAATGAGAGGAATTTCCTGTTTGTATCTTTATTTTCTCTAGAGATAGAAATTTGTGAAAATCTGCAAGCTGAATTTCTATAGCTAAAACAAAAAGCGCCTCATGCAATTTTAATAGTTATAATTAGCTACTTAGAAAACTTTCTTTCATCTCCCAACTCATTAGAGGGACAGACAACTAAATGACAACTAAATATTTTTTTTAATCTCTTAGCCTAAAATGTACAGTTCAACATTTTTCCTAATTGCTAGTGGAATTTCATTTTGTTCCTTTTTACAAAAATCCATCATATAATCACATTCTTATATTTGAAGGAATGTTATAACATGATATTTTGTAAATATAAATAATCTTGAACATTTTATAATTTTATCTTCCTCTTAATTATTTATAATGCAATATGCAGAATAAGATATGTATGAATGAAGTTTGACTAAATATTCACAGTTTGGGAATATCTGGGTTCAAAAAAGTTTAAGCACAAAAATACCCTTCATTACAATAAAGAACTGCAATGCTCAGAGGCCCCCACATAAGCCTTCATTGTGGTGAATAAGCCCGGAGGACTTATTCATACATAATATTAATACATATTTAACTGTCAGGACAGACCAGGTTAGGGAAACAGGCACAATAGGAGTTTGGTGGCAAGGAACTGTGTTGTCTTAGCATTTTTAAAAGTGAATAATCTTAGACATGTCCAAATAAGTGATTTAAGTGTCAGGTACACACAAGACACAACATTCAGCACAGTAACAGATCCCAGGACTAAGAACTGAAGCAGAAGTTGTAAACTTTGGACCCACCAGCTGAGTTTGGCTTGGAGGTACATTTTGCATGAACTGCTCAGGGATTAACAATAAGTGATAAATGGTTGCTAACATAACTTGTGTTATGGGTTGAATTATGTCTCCCAAAAATGCATATGCCGAAATCCTACCCTCCAGTGCCTTAGAATGTGACCTTACATGGAAAAGAAGTCCTCATAGATAATGATTTCATATTGGAGCAAGGCAAGCCTCTAATCTAATATGATTGGGATCCTTATAAAAAGGGGAAATTTAGATACAGACACTCCCATGGGGAGAACAACATATAAAGATGAAGGCAGAGATGAGGGTGATGCTTCTACAAGCCAGGGAAGTCAAAGTTTGCCAGCAAACCACCAGAAGCTACAGGAGTTGCATGACAGATTCTCCCTCACAGCCCTTAGATTGAACACACTCTGTTGACACTTTGATCTTGGGTTTATAGCTTCCAAGATTGTGTGAAAATTCTGTTGTTGAAATCACTCAGTTAAGTCACTAAGCCATGCAGCCCTAGGAAACTAATGCAACTTGTGTGTAAAAATTCTGGAGCTTCAGCTTCTCTGAAAAGTAGCCAACTTTGGTACCATCCAGCTGATGAACTGGAAGAGAGCATCGGCTGCCACCTTTCCACAGGAAGTTCTCCAGTTTAACAAAGCTCCAGCCAGGCCGTTTTAATCAATTAAGTTGCCTGCCTTATTTTAACCATTTAAAAGTTGCCAGGTATCACCTCAAAGGAAAATGGATCAGGAAGTTTGGAAGTACCTCAATAAATACATTGTGATAATATAATCTTTGTGATTTATAGAAGTAAAAAAGTAGGACGCATCCAAGTGTGAAAAAAAAAAGAAAGAAAATACAAAGAAAATGAAAATAACTACCCAGGGAGTTTTCTGATCATCTAAGATTGTAAGGAATTCTTACCAAGATAAAAGGAAAAAGATAGAATTAGAAACAAGTATAGAAAAGCTGTGATCATGATGCCAGAGAGGGCCCTCAGACCACCTACACTGAACAAGAAGACAGAAGGGGTACCTTACCACTCGAGGGAGTTTTAAATGTGGAGAGAAAGCTCTGGAAAAGCAGTATAGACATGATGGAAAGAGAGGACTGAAGACAAACGTCCATCAGGCTAAGGGGATGCTTCTCCACTCAAGTTCCACTTTGAACAAGTTCAAGCTATGAAGTTCAGATAAATTACATCCGCAGATTTTCAGAAATGTTGATCACAGAACCATTGCTGATAACCCTTGAGGAATAGTAGGGGATGGAGAGGATCCAGAAGACTGGAAATGAATAACAATCAGTTTTCAAAGAAAGAATCATGGAAAATTTTTACAAAATGCAGACCAATATGTCTGATAACAATTTTTACTAAAACGTTAAAACAGATTGTCACTCAAATGTGTTTGGGACATGTAAGGAAAGCAAATGATTATTAGAACTTGGAATTGGTTTAAAAATAGAAGTTAAATAGTAATAGAGGCAGCAGGAAGGTGACACACTCCCTACTATTCTACACTCCTCTCATTTTTTCAAGCCACACTGGCCTCTTGGTTGTTGCTAGACACACCTAGCATGCCTCTGCTGAACAGGCTCTGTGCTAACTGCTTGTTCATTCTAGAATGCTCCTCCCAAAGGCATCTGCAAGCCTTTGTGCCCTGCTTCCTTGAAGGTCCTAGTCCAGTGTCACCTTCTCCTTGAGGTCTTCCCTGATGACCCTGTGTAATGTTGCAGCCCCGTACTCACCATCTTTATCCCCTACCTCCACTTTATTTTTCTTCATAGTACTTGTCGCTATTTTTTATTTATTCAATAAATACTATATGCACTAACTAATACCAGTCACTTTTACAGGGGCTTCAGTATCTTCTCTACAGTTCTACTACACGGCCATCATCTAAAAGCCTTATATTTGACTGATCTTTTTAGGGTATTGTCTATCTCCATTTCGACTCCCATCAGAATTTTATGAGAGTAGGATTTTGCTTTTTCTCGTTTTACCTCAGCCCTTAGAACACAATGTTGTGGCACATAGTAGATATTGAGTAAATATTTTGTTAAATAAGTAAAATATAAAAGGCTGGAAATGCAGGAGTCTCTCCTTCTAAAATAAGAAGTTTCTGTGGATGAGGATAGGTATTAAAGGTTATTAATCTTTAGATTTCAACACCTGGCAGAGTGCCTGGCTTGTGTAGTGAGGGAACATAAGAAAGAGGAGAGCTGGAAAGGAAGCCGGACATGTGAGGTGCTTGGCAGAACGTGAGCTAGAATAGCTCAGCATCCCAAAAGCCCAGAGAAGAGAGGTCTGTCAGGAATGAGAGAGTGGTCCATGGTATTAAAGGAAGACAGAGATCATGTCATTGAATTTTCCATTCAACTGCTCAGTCTCTGAGACACAAATAAAATTGTCTGTAATCAAATAGGATAAAAAATTAGTTGCAAAATATGGATCAAGCATTACCCACATTTGAGCTACTTTGGAAAGTGCTATAAAACCTACCAAGAAGCAGAAGAAACATCTTGGCTCTGAAAAGACTGGCAATTCAGTGAGAGAGGATTCAATAGTCAAAGTGGTATCAAGTAGAAAACCAATTACAACAAATAGAACAGCAATGTAAGCAATGGCATCAAGTTCCACGTGACTAATGTCAAAAGGGTAAATGCTTTCAGGAGAAGATTGAGGTCACAGTAGGCTCACAGAATACATGTCTGGAGAGCTCTGTCTTTTGGTAGCATAAATGTACGTCTTCATGAGGACAATTAACTTTAGTCAATCAACAAAAGACAGGATTACTAAAATAAATAAGTGTAAGGAAAATATTAATAACCAAATAGCATTAGACATCGAGATAATCCTACCTAATGCTGTTAGCATTTGAAAGAAAAACATTCAGATTCCTAATCTATTGGGGAATATTAACATAATGTGGCTTTGAAAATTTTAAAAAGACCTCATAATTAATTTAATCACCATTTTGCATAGCATTCCCACTTGTAATCTGCATTTTTGCTTTAAAACTCTTACTATATAGCTGTCATTCTGATCTAATGAAATGCCTCTTACTTAGGAAGAGAGGAAATTTTCAAATGTTGAGTCTACACAGAAATGAAGAATGAAACATGTGTCTGTCGCTGCAATTTCACCATGGTAGACTAATTGCAGAGGCCTGTGGGTATGGATTGATGTTGCTGAGTAGTCAGCCTTTACTGCCGTCGCTTTCAGGGCAATTTGCATAGCATGGCTCATAGTGTTTTATGATTTTCCTTTTAAAAATAATCCTACTTTGTTAGTCACTAAATCTATTTAACTCTTCCAGTGCTGACTAGCATCTAGGCCATATCTGCAGACTGAGTGCACATATCTCTCCCTTGGTGAGTGCTGAGAAGAAGGGGAAGGGAGTTTGAAAAGGGCATCCTAGCTGGTGGAATTTACTCTCTTTATCTCTGAGAAGATTAGATTAATGTTGTACGTTGGGTTTTCTAGAAAGTAGACAGTGGTGGTTAATTTTATGTGTCAACTTGACTGAGCTTAGTGATGCCAGACTGCTGGTCAAACATTCTTTCTGGGTGTGTCTGTGAGGGTGTTTCCAGTGGAGATTAGCATTTGAATTGGTAGACTGAGTAAGGTAGGTCACCCCCACCAATTCAGGTAGGCATTATCCAATTTGTTGAGAACCTGAGTAGAACAAAAAGGTGGGAAATGGAGAAAATTCCCATTTCTGAGCTGGGATATTCATCTTTTCCTGCCCTCAGAGATTACTGCTCCTGGTTCTTCAGCCTTTGGACTCAGCCTGGGACTTCCACTATTGGCTTTCCTCTTTCTCAGGCTTTTGGCTTTGGACTGGAACTCTACCACCAGATTTTCTGAGCTTCCAGTTTGCAGTTGGCAGACTGTGGGGCTTCTCAGCTTCCCCAGTTGTGTGAGCCAATCCTGTGTAATAAATCTCTTTCTGCATAACTACATATATCCTATCGATTTTGCTTTTCTAGAGAACCCTGACTAATACACAGATCCTGAGGCAGACATGGGTGTTCAGGAGGTTTATTGAGGAATGTTCATTGGATTAATACCTCTGGAAGAAAAGGAAGTAGGATTAGAAAGAGAGAGAAGTTGTGTTACAAAACAGTCAAAACAGAAGCCTGAAAGTGGGATGGTGCATCAGAGTCAACTCAAGTTCTGGTCAGAGGGCTGGGCTTTTATACCCCTAACTGGGTGTGGGATGATTTGGCAAGGAGGCATGACCTTGCATGACGCAATCAGCTGAGGCAATCCCTGAAAATGGCTGACAGCTGAGGACTGTCTCCCAGAAACACTCCCATCAGCTGGGGAAAGAAGTCTTTCACTCCTGATGGGGACCTAGGTGGCACAACACAGTTTCCACCATGGGTGTCACATTTCTTCTAATGACAGAGGTTCAGTCAGACATCAGGTAAACAGCATGGTACAATCTCCTTGACTTTTGTGAGAAGGTCCTTCTATGGAATATTATTCAAGAATCTGCTCCCTACTGTCTAATAATTTGTCATTAATCATCTTAATACATTCCATGATGCTAAACAACTTTCAGGGAGTCTTTGGCAATTTTAATAATTTGTATCATACGAGAGAGAGAGAGAGAGAGAGAGAGAGAGAGAGAGAGAGAGAGAGAGAGAGAGAGAGAGAGATCCACTGATTATTGCAAGCTTATGTAGAAATATATCGATTTTTCTACTGCAATCAAGCTTAGGTCCTGAAGCTTAGCATGTGCATGATTATATTGTGTTGGAGATAATGTTTTACAAGGGACTTACATGTTTTTCAAGGGTCAGGATTTTCTGGTTGTAATGCTTATTTCCTTGGACTCCACTAAAAGAAAGCTTGTACAGTGTGAGATATATTTCCCTATATAATTTTATGAGTTCTTACTAAGTCAATGAAGTTACTCTTTCAGGAAATTTCTGAAGAAAATAATGGAAGAATAGCTTAGACATGTCACATCAGTCATACAGATATTAAATCTATAGCCTGGTGTGATATACAAGGTGAATTTGTTCACCTCATGGACTCTGTACATTTGAGTCAAGGGGAAACATCTAAAGCTAGCACAGTCGAAAGCTTAGAACATGGCTTGTATTTAAACAAACAGAGGGTAATCTGGCCTGGCACAGTCTGGCCACTGCAGCAGTGTATCTGAAGGTTATGTTTTATGTTTATTAGCTCCATCCAGATGGCGTTTTATGTCCTTAATAACTTTGTCCCTGACTAAGCCATGAACCTACCATTTGACAAACACAGTAGGAAATGTCCATCAGCAGAAAAGTCATTTTATAATCAGAAACATCACTTGAACCATTCGGACAACATTTTGAAAGAGTTTGATTCCTTTATGTCAATGCCTACAGTGATTTGTTGACAAATACAAACAGCTTTTCCCAACTAAACCTAAATTCATTGAGCTCCTGGAATGCCTTTAAAAGGAATACATATTTATTCTAATATCTTACATGAGTAATAACGTTCATTGTAAGAGAGAAAATTGCTTTGATACACATTTATTCATCTTTATATGTCCATAAAAATTAATGTATAGCATGTACTAATACTCCAGTATTCCAAGCAGAGAAACTGAAGAACAGAAGGTCCAAAGTCATCAGGCGAACTTCCTATAATCCTGGTCTCTCCTGGCTCTCAGCTCAGAACTTTATGTCTAGATTAGTCTACACACTGTGTTTATTCTGTGTTTTGGAGAACTTCATAAGTGGAATTTTTTTGGTAATAGTCATTTATGCTCGTGACTACATTCTATTTCAAAATTTCAACCTCCTTGAGGGCAGCTATTATATTTTGTTTATTGTTGTCTTCTTCAGACTACCAGTTTTAGGCGGTTGATGTACATTTGTGGATTTTATTGAAATAAGTCACTGCTTTTCTGATTAAACTCTGGTCTTTAACTCCCTAGTAAAAAGTGAAGGTGCTATTTTTAACTATCAAAAAAAAAATTCTACATGATTGTTTTGCCCATTTCTCAGTGGGAGCAGAGATTCTTGTCTGGAATTCCTTTAGGAAGGAATCTAGACTAGAGAAGCAAAAAAAGTGTTATTAACATCTATTATAATAATTTAAAAAACATCTAAGTAATTGATAAATAATTGATCCCATTTAGTTTTTAATTTTAAATTTTATCTCCATCTCCTTCCTTCCTTCTTCTTTTTTTTTTTTTTTGATTTTTTGATACAAAAAACATTTACTAAAGCATCTACTATGTACCAAGAGCCATGCTAGATCCTGTGCAGGTACATACTCATTTAAGAATATTATCAGTGTTCAAATTTTTTTAAAAGCATTTAGTTTTTTGTTTTTTGTTTTTTAAAAAAACACTTATTACAAATTATAAACACTTATGCCAGACACTATATTGCCCATTTTCCTGCACTGTGCCTCACCTCTTTATTTCGGCCTTAGAAATACTTTTTCCTGTATTCTTATCTTCCTCCAAATAGAATATGAAACTTAATTAAATACTATAATCACAAGTCATGGAGGCTAAACTTTTACTTATATTAACACATGATTTTTAAAATTGTATTGTAATAATAAACACTGACTTTAAGTTTACTCCATAGTTGTTAGTATTTTATAACATTTTGCCTAGATCCTAAGGCACAGAATCAAAAATGGTTTTAAGGGGCAAATCATTCCCCTTAGAACAGAGTAGAAAATCACTCACACATTTGATCAGTCAGCACTAACCAGGATACCTTTTTAAAGGATTGAGGTTCAACTCTAGGGGAAAAAAATGACTGTAAGAGAGTTTAAAATCATGGTAATACAGTAAGGAGTAAGTTTAACATCTTCTTTATTAAAGATTATCAGAGAAGAAATAAGACTGTATCTTCCTTGCAACATTTTACAATCTTACTGCCAAAGACTATTTGCTATTATAGCCTCATATATGACATTACAATTGGATAATGTTTAAGAACTTATGGATAGTTGCTGTTTAACGAAATTTGAAAAGCTAAATAACTTAAAAATATTTGGTGAGAGTGTTTTTAAATAAATACTGTTTTTCTTTCTTTTAGTTAACAACATAGTTTCTTCATCAAGATGGTAGAATCAAAAGAACAACTTGATTTACTCATTAAAAACCAGGAAGGCAACATTACAGAGGCCAAATTTGATTTCACATATACCTCCTGGCTTTAGACAAATTACTTAACCTCTCTGTGCCCCAGCCTCCATATTGATATCATAAGAATAAAAATATCTATAGATCATAAGGTATGGCAAATATTAAAGGAGTTAAGATCTGTTCATCACCTGTTCAATGTATGGCACAGAATGAAAACATAACTGTTAATGTCTTTATTTTCCTTTGTAAAGAAAGTGGCCTTTCTTCACATGATAAAACCCCTAATCAAACCGTGGGAATGACAAAGTTTGGATTTACCAGGCTATACCAACTAAAAAATTACATTTGAAGAGTGATACACAAAACATATCACAGACTGTAAGGAGGAGACAGCAAATAAATTGCTGAACCTCATTTGTAAAGAAATGAGACTTGTATTAACAATAAGAAACATTCAAGGAAACTGTAATCATTCTAAGCTTATAGGAACCACAGTGGCCACACAGACCTGTTGAAAACAGGGCCCCTGTCTCATATGCTAATTTTCAACCAAATTATTTTTCAATTTTGTTTGTGTTAGAGGGAACATTAAAGACAAATAAACAGGAATGGATGGAATGTGAGCTGAATACAAAGGAGCTGCAGAAAATATTTGTTAAATTGGATACTGGAGACTCTAAGGGGAGGAAGCAACTTGAGGGCAGGCAAAGACCTTCTGCCTACTCTGGAGAATTTTTTTTTTCTGCCTGAGGAATATGGAAAGATTTGGATCCTCAAAGCCCACCATACCCTCGTCCACATCATGAATAACCATAAAATGGTAGCTTATATAATATTCAACTTCTTGTAAAGAAGTATTTAAATCATGAACTCCATAGGCCTTAGCTTGGAATCTTGCTTGTTTTCTGAATGACAGTTTGGGAGATAGATGCAGTTCTTAGAAAGACAGCTGTCTTTATTAAAAAATAATAATAACAAAAGTAAAATTATTCATTCTTCTCCCTCAAAGAAACTGCTGTGAGTCCTAACTCAAGAAAGAAGTAAATGGATTTTAAAAATATGTTAGTAATTAGGTATTAGGGTAGTAATTAGGTATTAAGGTTCAAATCTATTATTTTTTACACAATGTGTTTGCACATTACAAAGTATCACTATAAAGAGGTAGCAGAACAACCAAATTATATCTAAGACATTTGAGGCAATGGAATAGAAGGATTTCTCCTTCCCCATCCACATAGACCAAAATAGGATAGAAATAGTGAAAAGTTGTCTGTGTTTTGCAACGCACATGCCACCCCCAAAGTCCTTCCAGAAGATAAAGCTTTGATGAACTTTGAAAATACTTTGTTCCATGAGAAATGAAGAAGTAGCACTTTGCTTCTGACCTCTAAGTGTCCTTTGTTGAAAGGGTTAGGAAAAGAAAGGCTTAAGTTTAATCTCTTGATGAAATAAAGTCTATTCATTTTCAATTTGTGGTTTTAAATATGGAATGATCTAACATGTCATTATTGCCTTGTTATTTAGAAATGCTGTGTTAGCCACTTTCTTTTTATTTTATTATAATACAGCTATTAGAAAGCTGTTTCTCCCCAGGAACCAATTCTTGGTAGGTTTCCTCTCCCCAGTCACCACTGGTTCCCAGCAATTTTATTTTTCAGATAAAATGAAGACCAATGTGGTTTTATTCTGTGCCATTTCAGTACATTGCATTAAAAAAATAATTGATCATATCTTTGTAATATATTTTTCTGTTAAAACAGGATATGTATAGTCATTGCTCAGATGCTCATTGAATTATAGCTTATCTGGGTTTTATTTTGGATTTATTTTAAATACAAAGATTATGAAGAAAAGCTGGTTAAAGCATTGCCAAGTGAACTAAACTTAGTGTGCCTGGTATCTGGCTAAATATATGTTTTTTTTTTTTTTTTTCTTTAAGTAAGAAGAGGAAACTACTATTAAAAGTGCAATTATCTTTCACAATACTGTATTCTTGAAGGCTGCTGTACAATAATGTTGTAACAGCACTTGCAGACTTTCTACTTATAATGAACACAAATATACAAGAAAACATTCTTGTGCAAAAACATTCTTATGCTTTCTTGAAAATACTCTCTTTGTTCGTACTAAACACAAAGTATAATTCTGCATGGGATATTCAATAACTTCTGATAAAAACACCCCACTGGGTATACGATGCATACAGTTTGAGGCTTTCAAGTTAAGTATTTAAATTGAAATATTGCTGTTAATAATTTATTGAGTTCTTGAACACAGCTTAAGTGCTTTTGATTTTAAGGAAAAACTGTGAACATGAAATCAATAGGTTTAAGAGTTATATATACTATTATTTCATAATTATATATATTTTATTTATATAATATATGTATATATAGCATAAAATAAAATATATTAGTATAAAGCATATAGTATAATGAATAATATATAAAGAAATATATAATATATGCTATGTGTACTATTTAGTATATTTTTAAGTATAATTTATCATCTAATATCATGTAAATCATATTACATTTGGATTATTTAGAACATGTGTTAATAACACTCAAACATGACAATAGCCTATCATTGTAGTAATTATATCTAAAGTTACCATGCACTGCTTAATTCTCAAGTGGAAAATGCTGTTTAAATAACATTCTTCATTAAATAAGAAAAGTACACCAACTGATTTTAGGAGCCCTTAGCATTTTGGAGTGCCAGGAGCTCTTGGCTCTGTGAGAAACATCTACAATGACAGAAAGGAAATAACCCTGAATGATATTTACCCTTTTGTGTTTTATGTACAGAGTAAATGGCCTAAAATTACTGAACTTTTCAGGATCATTTTTTCATTTTGCTGTGGGTTAGGAATGTATGAGATCCAAAGTCAGATTCTCTCCCTGTGAATATTTCTCTTCACTTTCAGAAATAATAGAATTTAAAGGTGATAAAAATACTGGCATTTGGAGTATCTGCCATTTAATGCTGAAACAACACTTTGACTCCATTTTGATGTTATTGTTTCCTGGGAATGCAGAATTTATCCCATACCAGGATGCGTCATACCACAAACTCGAAGAGAACTGGGTATGAGTTAGCTACACAATTTCACTGTACCCAAGCCTTTTTGTTCTGATTTATAGAATAGCTGACATGAGTTGAAAAACATACACCTTCATGAGTTGATCAGTACAGCATACCCAAAAAATGGTTTGTGACATAAAGTAACCAGAAAGTTCATCTGCATCTCAGCCCTGCAGAGCTTGCGATGTGGCATGTCACAGAGTTGCTTTCAGCTGATGCGATTGCTCGCTCCACATGCTGCCATTTACAGTACACGGTATACAGTAAATCTATTTTTTGTCAAGATGGGCTGGGTTTTCACAGCTCTGCACATGACATCCAGTCACTCTTCTTGGCTCTTAATGCTTAACATGGTGTAGTCTTGATTTTTGGCTGATTGCCTCCAATATGTTCAATTTTGGATGGTTTTTAAAGTAGGTTTGTGAAATGATGCCCTAGAAATGTGAAAAATGTATAGGTTTCCTTAAAGGGCTTGCAAGAATCATTCTGCTTGCATGGGCGTCATGTTGAAACTATAATATTATCTCAAGCATTTGTGACGTGACCTCAGTGGGCACTGGGAACATTCAGAAGGTAGATAAAAGGACACTGAAGGAAGCATTAGTGGTTGTCTCTGGGGGGGTGGAATTAGGGGCTAAAGTGGACAGATAGTTATTTTCATTATGCAGTTCATTTGTTGGCACACTGGTTTTTGTTTGTTTGTTTACCTGGTACATGTCTCATTTTTACAATTAAAAAGTTTAATTAAGCAAAAGTAATGTTTCCAATACAATTGTCATTTAAAAAATTGCCTCCTGTCTATCACTCACATTTTCATAACACTATTAAGTTTTATGAACACAAACTCTAGCCTATTACAATGTGTTCTTCCTGAGTCTTAACTTGAC
Organism: Homo sapiens; assembly: GCF_000001405.40. NCBI lineage: Eukaryota > Metazoa > Chordata > Mammalia > Primates > Hominidae > Homo > Homo sapiens. The sequence continues at coordinate 198,646,651 of NC_000002.12, forward strand.
CAATCTCATTTCTAAACCTTTATATGCCTGGACACTGTATTTTTCATTCCCACTTTTCATGCCCATGGCCTCCTTCAACCACAGGATTATTCCTTTTTCTATGTGAAATTTTTTATCTGTGTGTTATTGATGCAACTTTAGGTTATCTGAATTGACCAGGATAAAGTTCCAGGAGGCACCCCCAACTGAATGCCTCACAGAACTGAACAGTTTAGGTCAATTGGTTATGAATCATCAGTAGTCATGCTACCATGACATTAAAATAAAGTAACTAATATTTAAGTCAAAGATGAAGTATGAGGAAGAAGCCAGATTTATAACAAGTTTGATGTTTTCATTTTTTCTTTATATTTGAAACTATCACATGTAAAAATGGAAAGACACCAGAGAATAGGCATGTAGGAAATTCAACATTTAGCATTGGGTTTGTTTTCTACTTAGTTTTAACATTTTTGTCTAATTTGTATTTGAATATTTGGGAGGGAATTTTGTGTACAAATTTAGTTTCTTTTTTCTTTTCCCTGAATTAGAGGACATTAACAGAAGATAGAGGTATAGATGCAAGTAATGAGAGGATGACACTGGTCATGTGGCAGAAGTTATACAAACTAGGTACTCCAAATTAACACATTGTAATGGGTCTAAAGAAAACAAATCCTTTAATTAAAAAAAATAGTGGCAAATGATATTGCAATTTTTAGGGAGTTATATGCCTTGCCTGTTGATAAGGGAAAGTAAAACAGAAGCCGAGTGGGAAGGGAACTCTAAGAGACCTTGAAGGTTCCAGCTCTACCCTTAACTTCCCAGGGCATTTCTCTAATCTCTCAGACTAAATGATCTCTAATGTCCTTTCTAACTCTAAATTTTATATGAAAATCAGTTTTATATTTGAGGGCTTCCCAGACAGTGTCTAAACAAAGTACCTGACAGCGGCACTTAATAAATGTGCATTAGACGAGTAAACAAGAACAAGGTAACAAGAGGATGAGCATTGACTGCAAGCGTTCAACTTTAAATAATAGATCCACAAGGTTATAAAAACCCCACTGAGCAGATTAAACACAATCCCTCTATGCCAAGCTCTCAGGCACAACTACATTGGCAACACACAAACCCACAAACCCACACTTTTTGTGGCGATTCATCAGGGGCATTACCCTCTACAAAAATACATGGAGAGAGTCACAGGCAGAAGTACAAGCTGACTTGGAGATTTCATTAAAATCTGTGAAACTCATGAAACTCTTTAGACCAATACATTTGTCAATCACCCAGTAATTGAGAAGTAGGAACTGTGGTTGTGGAGTTATTATATATGCAGCCATTCAATTAGCTGAGTTTCCCAAGTCTAAGAAAAACCGAGAATAAGACAAACTAAAAAGCTCCTTCTTGGATCATCTGGATAATTAATCTAGACTTCTAATTTGCAGAGCTATTCTAGTCATTACAGCAATAAACATTTTATCTGTGTTTACCAAATATGTGCCAGGCACCATGTTAAATATTCTACATACATTTTTACCTAGATGGTTTCAGTCCATTTTACGGATGAATAAACAGAGGCTTCACATTTACTCATTCACTAGAACTTTATTGAATAACTACTATATGCAAGACCTGTGCTGAACACTAAATTCATGGCTACGAATTAAATAGGCGCAGAGAGATCTTGGTTAGGACAGCCTTGCTCAATCCTTCCTGAGTCAAGTCATGAGGCAGATAAATCAGTGCAGAGAGGCCTGGATTGCTCAGCATTGTAGCACACCCCCACACACATAAAGGCCAATGGTTGTTAGTTGACTTGAAAATAATGTAACACGCCAGGCGCAGTGGCTCACGCCTGTAATCCCAGCACTTTGGGAGGCCGAGGCAGGCGGATCACGAGGTCAGGAGATCGAGACCATCCTGGCTAAGACGGTGAAACCCCGTCTCTACTGAAAATACAAAAAAATTAGCCGGGCGTGGTGGCGGGCGCCTGCAGTACCAGCTACTCAGGAGGCTGAAGCAGGAGAATGCCGTGAACCCAGGAGGCGGAGCTTGCAGTGAGCCGAGATAGCGCCACTGCGCTCCAGCCTGGGTGACAGAGCGAGACTCCGTCTCAAAAATAAATAAATAAATAAATAAATAAAAATAATAATAATATAACACATAGTGAATCATACCGGAAATACAAAGTTTAGATTCAAACATATAAGGTTGGAGGCAAACACACGAGACAATTTTGACAGTGTTTCAGGATGATGTGACAGGGAACACAGGAGTTTGATTAATGTCTATACAAAGTGGCAGCATCTATCTCATTTAGCTTAATTATCACAGCCAACAGGATATGTCTCAGGGAGAAACTAAGATTCGAGAATCATACTCACTCAACTCATGTTCTCAGCTGTCCTTGTGTCTTTCAAGCTTGCTGCTGTGAAGTGTAATTTTCACCAAGTCTGTGTGTCTGACTCTTCCTTCTCAATTCTCAAATCCAGTTGCCTGTTGACTAATTCAATGCCTAATCTCAGGGAGCTTACAGTCTTGTTGAAGAAATCGTTTTTAAAAGGTGACCAATATTGAAATCTTAGAAAAGACAAAACTAGAGTGATAGAAAGCAGAGGAAGGGAATTGACTGTAGATGGGTACCAGGAAACTATGTGGATGATAGAAATGTTACACATACTTATGCTGTGGGGGTCATGAGACTAAACACATTTGTCAAAAGTTATAAAAATGTACGCTTAAAATTATTGAATTTTATATATAATATATCTCAATAAAGCTGCCAGAATGTTGCCATAAACTTTGTAATTTTAATACTATTTTAAATTTAAAAAAGACATTTCTAATTGTCTATATATAGACAGTGTATATATATTATATATACAGATACATATATGTAATTTTAAACAAATATAACAGAAAAAATGTGTATATATATATGCATGTACATTTTAAGACATTTCTAATTGTTAAAAATTATATATGTGCTTATGCATATATGTGCATATGCATATATGAACATATATGTATTATGTATACATATGTGTACCACATTTTGAAAAGGTAAAATGTAAAACTAAAATTTAAGAGGCTTTGAAGTAAGGTCCTCCATCATATTTAATGTAAGCAGTAAATGTAACATAATCAAAAGAAAAGAATCAAAAGTTACTAACACTGAGGTGAGCACTGAGCACTAAAACAGTTTAAAATGGGTTTTTCAGACTGATTTATAAAACTGGTAAGGGTCAGCTGACATAGTATATTACTTATTAAAATATTTGCACAAAGTTAATTAAGAAAAAAGCAAATGAACAAATGAGATCATAATTATAAATTCTGATAAATGCTTTGAAAGGGAAAGACCAGAGTTCAATGAGAGAGTTTGGCAAATTGTATTGTCTTAAATAAGGAAGTATTTTTATTATTAATGTTAATTTACTTAGTAAAAAATAATATTGAAAAGGAAAAAACAACATTAGAAGGCAAGAATTTAGAAGTAATCAGCATAGTTTACCTAGGGAAACTTTAAGAGCCTTGGGCGTTCTAAACTTGCTTAGAGTTTATTTCCCATAAAGATCCTGAGCTCGGAATTTTTTTCCTAAACTAGCTTTCTTATTTTCTAGATGCCTTTAACTGGTATCACCACACTACCAACAAATGAGTGCTAATGCTGATATTGATATATCATGAATGTTTCTCACTAGTATCTTTGTTTCTTTTTATTAAAGCAATCACATAAAGTATTAAATGTATTTTAAAAGAGTTTCCATGTTTTGTGTAATGTGCTAATAACTATCGCACATTTGCCTGAACAAATGGTAATGACATGAAGACTCTGGCTTCATTAGACAGTGACTATTATTGCAGAGGGACGCAAATGCCAATGTCTCATGAAAAGGTTACGATGTACTATGAAACAGAACAAGGTAATACTGTGTGATTTTACACAGAGAAACATAATAGGGTGAAAACATTGACATGTTCAGTTAAAAATAATCCTTCAAAAGGCCAAAGTTAACAGTTAAAACCATTTTTTTATCTAGAAATTGGCAAAAGATTTATCTAAAATGTTTATATTTTTGCCACCCCATAAATCAAAATTAGTTTTCCATTAAAAAAATTGGATCAGAGATGATAATATTCTTGCCAATTTTGTAGCTAAATGCAAATGGAAACATCTGAGATTTTAAACTGAAAACTGAAGTTTATAGATATATAGTAAAACTACTGCCTGTGAGTGTTACATTGTGAGATCTGAATAGCATATGAGGTTATGAATTAACAGTAATCTGAGATACATAAAGCCTTTAGTTTCCTTTTATTAAACCTATAAACACAAAGCAAAAGCCTAGCTTTATTATTAATGTGTCTGCTCTATTATTTCTACCTTTTAATGTTGATGGAACGATAATGTAACTTATATTTATTCTTCAAATCTCAATCAAAACTTTTTCAGGATCTCCAGACAAGCCCAGGTTCTTATGATCTGCCCTCACGGCACCATGTTATCTTCCCTTTGTAAATTGGAATCTATTTTTAACTTGAAAATAATTAACGGGCAAACAAAGACTGAATATATTCAAGGTATACAACATGGCTTAATACATGCATACATTGTGTAATAATGACAATCAAAATGAATTCACACATCCCTCACCACACATGCTATACATTAGATACTAGAACTTGCTCATCTTACGACTGAAAGTCTGAACACTGCTATTCTGTTACCATTTTATTAATACCTGTGTGAATACCTTATTCACACATTTGTGAGCTGCACTAGAATCTACATGGGGTTTTATTCACCATTTCATCCCTAGGACCCAGTATAATGTCCAGTGCACAGTTGACATTTAACAAACATTGATTAAGTGAATTAAATCTGATTATCACAGAGTAATTTCTATGATTTTTCAAGAATATGACCAATTATTTATTAAGTGTTATACCAATAGTAGGTTTTCTTTTCTGAATTTTTCAGCCTTCCTCTGTCTTAAATGTCCCAAACTGGAAAATTAAACTGTTTCTCAGCATCATTGTTTTGTTTCTCCCTTCTCTGATTTCCATCTTCCTTCCCCAGCCTAGCTAGGAATGTTACCAGTGGATCCATGGGCCAGAAAGTGGGCAGCACATTTGCAATTCCTCCTCTATTATATTGCATGGTATTATTACAACCTTGACTCCACCATCAGAACTTTCCCCCTACCTCTAGTGAAGGTGTCAACATTTCTGGAAGAGGAAACACAGTCCAAAAGAGTTTCGAGATTTTAGGATCCTATGAATGCCAGGAACACATTGTGTAAAAATATGTCTGTTTTCACTTTTAAAGTGAAATAGCTTCAGATCATCCAGTTCAACATTCACTAATGGCTATGAAAGCTACAAATTACTTTTAGAATGGCCTTATAGCTTTAAAGAGCTTTTCTCAAAATTCTACTGACATCCTTTCAGTTAAAACCATTAAGTCAGCGGATGCAGCATGTATTTACATGACAGAGCGCAATCAAACTGAGGATGTATAAAATAGATCAGCAGGTACTAGTGTCTTAATGCAAACCATATTTTATGAGGTGGAAAGTCAATGAACATAGAAGAGATTGTTGGCAACAGTGTAACAACAGTGAGATTCTGCTCTCTTAACCCTGGGGACAGAAAAAAAAGCTAGCATGGAAACCAAAATACAACTTTACCTTGGGCCATAAAGACAAAGCAAGCAATAGAAAAGATTCATTCTTGATGATCAATTACATTTGCCCCATGTAGGTTCATTGTGGTAAAAAGGATGATTTTTACCAAAAGACACACTTTGAGCAAATGTGCTCATTTCCATCATGTTTACAAGGTCTTAAGTCATGATATATGCTAACGTATGTATCCCACAGCTTCATTATAAAATCATTAAGCTGATTCCCTCACCAAAATATATTTTTTTCTCTTTAAATTTTGAGGGAGAAGACAGGTGGTTAAAGACTAATACATTTTAAAAGAACTGATGGTATCTAGCCAGCTCCCCCCTTGTCACACAACTCTTTGAATGATTAGGGGTACTGACTGCCAAATGTGTTTAAAAACTCATTTGAAATGAAGAAAAGACTCAGAAATAAACAAAAAGGGGAGGGAAGAAGAGGACATTTTATTTTTACATTTTTTCTTGCTTTATTTTTAAGATGAGAAGTAAAACTGTTCTTTTATTAAATAAATGACAAAAGTTGTATTCATGCAGGCTTAAAACACATTTCAACTCCAAAGTCTGAAGGAATTTTATTGTTAACTACTGATCCACAGACTTGAAGTTAGCAGGATTATTATTTTGTGATTTTAACATTTGTAATACTACAGACCTGCAGTCTTGGAGATTAAGATTTTTACCTAGATGTCTGCAAAAGCTATAGCTGCATAAATGAAGTATGTACAATAGCACTGAGGTATCAAGAAAGCAATGCTTTTATATATTTAAGTATATAAATTACATGCATCACATATATGTCTGTGACAAAATGCACAATATAAATGCACCTTTGCATTGGCATAACTATGAAATATTTTTTTAAAAAACAGCAACACTATAGGTGTGTCCTACAAAGCATAAAATTGGTTTGAAAATAAGTTATAAAATATTTTAAAATGGACAGATTCCTGAGTTTTCCAACAAGGCAGAAAGTACTATAGGACACACTTGAGTGTCTACCATTGCTCTAAGTGTAGAGAGACAAATGCCCACGGGTTAGGGTCAAAATGCTATTAGTGCCACAATGTGCAGGACCAAAATCTGTCATAGCTGATTTGGACTGTGGCACCTCTTAAGAAAAAAATGAAGAACATGCTCTGCAATTACCATTCGCCTGGGCATGTACATAGAGAGAGCTGACAAATGATAAAGGAAATTGGAAAGGTTGAGAGGATGAAGTCAATAATAGATTTATCTCCAGACATTTAGCACTTGAAGTGCATCTGTTATACAATATGTAGACATATTTTACAGCAAATTTGGAGATACTGTGAGCCCACTGGGCAGGGACAATATCTAATTTTATATTCTATGTAATTCTGAGCATAACTTTGGTGCTTAATCAGTTAGAGGAGGAGGTACCCCCTGTGCTTACAAAAGGGGAAATGCATGAAAAGGACATAGGAACGTAACCCCGGGTTCTGTGTGCAGCAGCAGTGTGGAGGAACAGTGCAAAAAAGAGCAAAGCCAAATATGAAATAAGATAACTATATTTCATGTACAACATGAGGAGACTGCACTTGGAAAGTTCTTTCGACCTTTAAAAGTCAAAATTTCTATTTTTTTCCCTCAAACTCAAGAAAAGTTATTTGCAACTTTTTGTTCTAAAGGAGTACGAAAGTTCTGTAATAAATTGAAAAACAATAATATGAATAGATCTCATTAGATAGCATTTTAGGGAACAATTTCTTGCCAGCCTAAACATTATTTTCCCCAAAATAATTTATCTTATTCTTCAAAAAGTTTCTTATACTTCTCGAAGACTGTAAAGACTGCTAATCATAGGTATCATAATGTATTAGCTTTTATAATACTAGTATTAAGATAACATAGCCTCATTTACAATATGCATGCAAAAATATTATGCCTGTTTGTTTATTTATAAAAATGTGATATGTATGCATAATTGAGAAATTTCTATTTTACCATTTGTGGGTTTTTTTCCTCCACCTATCTGTTTTCTTTCTTCAACCACACATGTACAAAGAAACACATATCCTAAGGCTTTAATTTTGCTTAATTTTGTGTAAATTTATCTGGTATACTTAAAAATCACAGGAAAAGACTAAAAAAGAAACAATAAGGCTCTAAAATATTCTTGCATCATAGCTTATTTCCCTAGGAATGGAAAAATAAATGCTTTACCCCTATTGTTACTTGTTCTTATTGTACGTGACGCTAAAGCAATCGGTCAATTCAGCTAAAAAATGCTTACCCAAAGGAGTTACTTATGCTCCTCTAACTAAAACAGGCAGTTGGCTGACTTTTGCCCTACCATCTCCACACATACTTAATTTTGTAGTCACTGTGTGAATTTCTAAAATGTCTGTTTTAGTTGTCAATTAAAATGAATTATTTCCTTCAGTTGTTGGAGAAAGTTTTTTGATCAGTATGAACAAGACTTGGTACTCAGTCTCACTTGTAGGAGGGTTTTATGCTTTTACTGTGGAGCCAATTGCTTAGTGTTAGGTGGTGTGATATCATTATTTTCCCCAAACCACAGGATTCTGTTCCGTCTTTCGAGTTTACAGGTCTACATCGTTTTAAAAGGCATTTCACATTCGAATGATCTGTCTTAGGTAGCAAATAACCCCAAGATGGAGTGTGGATAAACATAGCTTACTATCTTTTTGCTTGCCACACTGCCACGTATAAAATGACAATCTTACCAAAATTTAATGCATACATTTAAAAGATTTACCGAGCTTGTTTTACTTATATTTTAATGTATTTTACAGTTATATCGAATCATTTGCTTCCTTACACTTCCTTCTCTGAAAAGTCAAATATATGAACATCATTTATTGCATTAGCAGCAATGAAAAAGCTTGAGAATAATTTAATATTTAATCTTTACATTCACTTTGAAAAAAACCCTAAGTTTTTCTGGTTTTAATATCTAAAGCAGGTATCATGATATATAACTTAGTTAAAATAGGTAGCCTCTTATAAGAATTTTTTTTTTTAAAGGAAAACCAGATCCTGGCATTATCTCAGCAAAGCTTAATCTAACATCCAGGAAAGAATACAGAAAACAGGAAAAGCTGCTGTCTCTCTCTCTCTCTCTTTTTTTTAAAGACATACTGCAGCTTCCCTTTTGGAACTTTTATGCTAATAAAATCCAGGTACATTACTGTACAGTGTCTTAAAGAGATGGACAACATTGTTTTAATGGAATAGTTTTCTACTGGACTCAAGGGCATTTTCTCCTGCATAAAGAAAGGATTCAAGACAATGGTTCTACCATACTTTAACTGTATTTTATTTTAGCTTTGAATAGTAATGTGTATTAAAGTAACCTTCACACTCACAATGAGAACTCAAACTACACTCTGATCAAGTTCTTTCCAATAAAAAAATTAATAATTTCTAAAAATCCCCAGTAAATCATGCTTTTAAAATAGCATGAAAAAGAATAATATCATAGTCAAATGTATACAAAGAAAATATAACAACCAATGGAATCTCCTTTTACATCTTTTGAAACATATAGATCTCTAATATTGTGTTTAAAGAAATGTACATGGTTTAAGACACTAAGTACCAAGAACACAGCAGTGAACTAAGGAATATATAACATTAAATTGTGTACTGAATACTAACTATACATTGCAGTTGTATACTACTATTTTAAAACGAAGGAAAATAGCCAAATATTGCTTTCTAAAAGGAGTAAAAAGAGAACAAAATAAAAGTTCAATAAGCTGAGATTTTAGTGTGTTTGACACAAAATATAAATGCACAACTGTGATTTGGAGAATGAATAGTCAAAAGATTATTATGTGCTCCTGTATATTCAGAAAACTGTGTCCAGATTCATTTTATGTTATAGGCCCCTAAAGTCCTGTGTGTGCCTTCTCATGTGAACATAAAGAATTCTGAACTATACACTGTGATGCACCAAGATGAAATGCCTTTGAAATTATTTTATAAACAAAATTTCAGACAGAAAAAGAAGCAACATGAATTTTTGTCTTGGAATTGTGCAAGTAGATAAGGAAGAATGAGCCAAAATAGTCACTTCCAGCCTTTTTCATTGATCAATTTATGGTTGCAAAATAAAAATCTTTCTTTAGATTTTCAAAATGAAAAAATATGGATATATGTTATATATATTTTTCTGCATGTTTCCAATATTAGCAATTACAAACTTGTTTTAACCACTGCTTCTTCCAAGGTGGACTGTATGCCTTCCATGAGTAAATATGGATTTACAGGAATTTTCTCTGACCTTTATGAAATGCTATGGCAGATTATATTACAGCATTTCATTCTTCTATATACAATGTGAAGGTCACTTACGTTCTGTAATGACTGAAACCTCTATTTTACTAATGTTTTCCATATCACATTTCCAACTTGGTCTCTAGCTTTATCCTTGTAGTCTGGAAGTCATTGGGCAGACCAATTTATTGCCTAAGGTTAAGTAAAAACAATTTTAAGAAAAAGTTGTAGATATTCTAAAATATTCTATAGTGGCTTTTTCTATGTTCACAACTTTTTCACTTCTTTTTCCAGAAAATCCTAACCAGCACTTACTTCTTCCTACCCTGTGTATTTTCTTCACTCATTTTAGTTGCTGCCTTTGATCCCTCTTCCCTCGTTTAGAAACTTTCTTTGATTCTTTAGACTAAGTTAATCAAAGAGGACCTCCATGGATGCATGGGGCATGTCCCAAGCCCAGGCATGCTAAGTGATATGGCTTGAGCTTCTCAGCAGATAATGTCCTGTTCTTTCATGTACACTAGTGACTCATTTGCAAAAAAAAAAAAAAACAAAGAAAATCAAAATAAGAACTGTTTTTGAATATTACACATGCTAAATATGAAGTCACATAAAATAAGTTTATTATTGATGGTGTGAAAAATTATTCTAGCGTGCATTTTTTTCACATGTTCACTGAGAAGACAATGAAATAGAAATCGCTATTATTGCTACCATCATAGATCTTTTCCAAATACAGTAAACTGTTGGTGGTTAGGGATGAAGAAAATCAGGTATCCTTTGGAAAATATAAGATTATGTGTTTAAAAATTATTTTAAGCTTTTGATTTTAGTGACTTGACAGGAGTGTTTCAAAATTCAGGAAAAAAACTTTCTTTTTTTTTTTTTTGCCACTCTTTTTCTAACCAGAAACCAACGATGCCAAAAGCATAAGATCAAACTCTGAGGGAACATGAACCTATAGATAAATCACTCACATACACAAACATGTATGAAATGGTATTCAGTGATATAGACGCCACACGATGTACAATTTTCACAGCAAAAGGAGGCTTGTATAAATTTTTAAAGGTACTGTAGACAAAAAATTTGGCCTAGGGTGTCGAAGGCAGTTGCCACCAGAGGGCGATTATTGAATGAGAGCTTCATTCTGCACAATTGCTTTTGTGTGTGTGTGTTTGTGTGAGTGTATGTGTGTGTCCAATTAATCAAAAAATGTAAAATACTCACAATGGAGCCTTAAGCTTCTTGCAGGAAAACTGCGATTTCTTTTTCCATTTCAAAAAAGAAAGCAAATATTGGTGGTGTGAGTAAAAGAAAGTAAAAGAAAAATGGAATTTCATAACTTCTAGATGAGCTAGTAGATATTTATATGACAAATTAAATGAAGAAAGTAGTGCCTTAGCACATCCTTTAAAAGCCAATGTGCTTCCCCCCAAAAGGTATTTATTTACTCTGTTTTACTCCTTTATGTTCCTTGGGAGTCACAGAGCAATTTGATGCCTATTGCCAGAGGTTTCTGAAGTCGTTAATTTTTAAAGGACTTTTTTCTTCTCCTTTCCAAGAGATGTCTTAGTAAGATATTTTGGATTTGATCCTAAACATCCTTTATAATTTCGTATACACTTTATTTTGGTCTGAACATCAGACCACATAAGGGACAGAGTGATACATTTAAAAACATGAAATGTAACATAATGCAAGCTTTAATACCTGGAACAGAGTAAACCAGTAGCTTTGAGTTATATTACCCACCATAAACTTTTTTAACCTGTGGCTCATTTTCAAAATAATAAACGTAACTATTCCATAAAAATATCTCAACACAGTAGAGCCAGAAAAGTGAAGGACATGAACAGATGGCACATCAATCTTCTGCATTTATACAATTTGTTTTTTAATGCAAATAGTGTGGGTTGCCTGCTCATGCCTTGGATATTTGTTCCAAAGATGAGCACATTTTCTTATCTTTCTGGATCAATGTGACATTTGCAGTTATCATAAAGTGGGAGCCCATTTAATGATGTTAATGCTTCCTTAATGTAAAAATAAAATCACCTTCTTTATAAAAGCAAACAGATTAAAAGTCCCAAAGAGACCATTGAAATCTGTGACATTTGCAGTTACTGGGAACTAGATGGCTTGATTATACACAGGTAAAAAAAAATCTTAAAAGCATTGTTTATGCTCATTAATCAGAACATTAAATATGAATTCTAGATTCTCCTATGAGCAAGAGAGTAAGAATATATTTGTATAATGAAACCAAGATGCCAAAGTATTTTTTAAAGTTACTGTAGTTAAATGTTAAATTAACAAGCATCTCTACATTTTCAAAGAGCTTGAAGATTTTTAGTCTTTGTGGATCCTTAAATAATACTATTTCTAAGATGTACTATTTTGCTAAAATAGAAAATGTGATCAAAAATAGCAGAACCGCTTAAAAAGGTGTGGCAGTAATATTTTTTATCATAATTCATATGATTGTACCAATGTGTACCTGTCTCCTTTCCCCATATATTTCAACTCTCATGGAGAAGTGCTATTTATAGAGAAGAAGAGTGCTGTTTCCATGGTTCATTCAGTTCGATTGGTAGATCCCATTTGGCTACTTCATGGGGAGCCAACTCTGGGGATTTATTTCTTTTTTGTGTGTATTGTTGTATCTGTTTTCGATGTTTCATACACATGCCCAGAGGCCTTTTGGCAGAAGATACACTTTTCAAAGCCAATTTGAAAAAGCAAATCATTTTCCTTCCTGCTCAGACAGCTGGCTATTGCATACAGCCTTTTCCACTAGAAATGAGTTATGGTCACTAACTAATTCCAGAGGGTCCAAAAAGTTGGCATTTGATGAGAGAAAATTTTGATCGCTATCAAGTTGGCATCAACTCCCACAATAGGATAACTTATAAAATACAGGGCAAAAGGGTGCTATGTAAGTAACCTAAGCCACTCTGTGTAGCTTCTCCACAGAGCTTGTGTAGATAAAACGAGAAGATAACACCACCTCAGGAATGTTCTCTAAAACAGGTGGAGATATGTCTTAGGTATTTGTGACTTTTTATAGATCTCATTTTATGTGGAATTGTAATCCACCCTTCTCTGGTAGGTGGGGCTATGCTGGCAGATGTTATCTATATACTTGCTATAGGATACGCACACCCAATTTAATAAATAAAGCTGATGAAGTGAGGCAAATTCAAATTTGAGAAACAGGACCTTTATTGTAGCAATAAAATATATTTCAGGCTCAGGCCTATGTGCCTAGGGTTAAGATGAAATCATGGCAGCATGAAATATTGAATCATATTTGGAAAAGAAAATAAACATGCTAGCTGGGACTTCAGTCTCGGGGGAAAGTTTTCCATCCATTCACTCATTCGATCATCCATTTACCAACAAATATTTATTTAACACACCTATTATGACAGCCAGGCACACTTGATGGTAGGCATGAAGGATGCAGTAATAAATAAAATGGGCACAGTCTCTATCTTTATAGAACTTGTAGTCCATTGGGGAAAACATGTTAGACCATATTATTATTATTACAAATAATAATAAAGATAATAAGAGAGGCTATATAGGTGTTATGAAAACACAGAGCATGGGGTGGTGATTTTGCCTTAAAGCCAGGGAAAAGAAGAAAGAGAAAAGTGTTTCCAGTAGAGGGAACATAAGTATAAGGGCTCAGTGATGAGAGTGTGGATGGTGTATTGGAGGAACAGGCAGTAGTTCAGGAAAACCCAAATCGGTATCATGGCAAAGAGGATGGAGAGATATTGAGGTTCCCATTGTTAGAGATAAGAGGCTATTAAAGGGCTTATGATATGACAATCAGAACAGAAAACTAATGGGATGGAAAACTAATCACCAGGAGTTTCTGGAAGCTTTTGAGATTGTTGCTCTGGTAAAGAAAAGTCCAGAAGTGCTTGGCATGTCTACAGAAGAAGTCTAGATGGTAAGTCTTTATTTTCAGTAGCTAAAGAATGTTACATTCATCTTATTTTCCTACGGAACTGGTTAAAGTCAGATTCACCATCACATACTCATACATGCATTCCCAGCTCCCATCTAGTGACTCGCAAATGGCTGCTCAATAAAATGTGAAACAGACTCCAGAGGAAGAATGAGTACTTATATTAGTTTCCTGTGATGGCTGTAACAAAGTACCACAAATTCGGTGACTAAAGATAAATGTATTCTTACAGTTCTAGAGGCCAGACAACTTTCATCAGTATCACTGGGCCACAATTAAGGTGTGGGTAGTGCAGGGCTCACTCCAGAGCCTTTGGAGGATGATTAACTCCTTGCTTCTTCCACCTTCTGGGGGATGCTGGCATATCACAGCACTCTCTGTTTCTGTCTTCACATCGCCATCTCCTCTATGTGTCTATCTAGTCTCCCTCTGCCTCTCTCTTATAAAGACACTTGTGATAGCACTTAGGGGCACCCTAATTATCCAGACTCATCTTCCTATCTCAAGGTCCTTAATCATATTTCCAAAGACATTGCCTTATAAGGTAACATTTAAAGGCTCCAAGGATGAGGACCTGATATCTTTGGCAAGGGGCTAGGGTCAGGGGTGTATTTTCAAGTGACCATAGTACTCATTCACAATTCTTAAAATCTTCAGTATTGAGGGAAGAAGAGGAATAGAATTGCATGCAAACATTCTAGGACGTAAGCATTAAACTCTAACATGGAAGGAACCGTTTAACCTTGGTCTAAATATCATCCTAGTGAGCTGGCAATTCTGTGCTGTAGCGTGCAAGTAGGTGTCAGAAAGGTCCCTAGGAACAAATTATCATCAAGAAGCTTTGAGTAATTTAGTGTTAAGTGAATTGTAAGGAACTTGAGGGCAAAACCAATGCCATTTTGTAGTTCCCACAGGGATTAAATCCAAAAGAGATATCTCCATGGTCTCCAGAAGGTCCTAACATAAAGCAGGTCCTTTCAGAGTTTTATTGAGATGGGTTAAAACTTCCAAAGGAGGATCTTCATTTGAACCATACATCCAACACTGGATTTTTTTCCATTTATATAAAATGCATATATATATGTGGATACCTTCCATTTATGTAATAAACATATAGGTATATGCCTTTTTCCATTTATATATAAATGTATATATATGTCTATACATTCCATTCATATGTAAATGAAAAATTATGCATCATATATCATATATATGTGTGTGTGTGTATATATATATATACACACACATATATATATATATATATACACACACACACACACACACACACACACATATAATGCATCAAAAAATACCCTCTATGCACCAGGCACTGCTCTAGACCTCTTGGGTGAAGTTTCACGCTAGAAATAACTAAATGAAATAAAATAAGTTCTAGGTATTTTTCAGTCCAGCACTGTATCCTATCCAAATTACATTAGTAATGTTGGAATCAGTCCTAGCCCAGAACATAGTAGAAGGGAAATTCAAAAGTGTCCTAGGCACTTCACATGTGCCACAATCCTCAATTCTCACCAAGACTCTGTGAGATAATGTTATTATCACCATTTAAGAAATAATAAATCATGACTCAAAAATTTCAATAAATGCATGAAATCATACAGCTAATTTGGAGTGATCTGTGATTAGAATTCAGGTCTGCCTGATACCAGTGTTCCTAATTTTTTCATCATACCAATCTTATTGCTCAGAAGCAGAACTAGAATTTAGATGTCCTTGGATCCAGTTTTGAGTTTTGCCATTATGCTATACACCAAACGATAAATCCTTGAAATAGGCCATTTCGGGATAAATAGGATAACACATTATTTTCCCACTACATTTGAGGAGTTGATCTCCTTAAGATGGAGTATAGGTCAATAAAAAGAATAAGTTCAAGTAAGTGTAGCTAAACCAATGGATCACAGGGTCATAAGCATCAAGAAAATGAACTTCATGGAATACTGCTCACTTTTGAGTCTGCTGCCACTAAGAATGGTCATGACCTTACACAAAATATCCTTGGGGACATTGATAGAGACAACAGTAATTTTGCTTTCTTTTGTTTCAGATAAGAGATGAGAAATTTGTAGAATTTTTCTTCTAATTTAAAGATATGGCTTGCTAATATTAGCAGGACTCTGAGAACATATTTTTCTGATTTCTATGGCTTTTACATGAGCCAGAAGTACAACTACAAATAGTAAAATGTTCCTATTAAGTCATGGTAGAATAAGGGTTCTGGGCATGCCAAGGCTGTGGCTCCTGCTTTCTCTTCTCTAACAATCCTTGGCATCCTAAGGATGTCACACAATTTCTTCCTACAGTGAAGGACAGATTCATGCTGTTACTTTTTTTTTTTGAGAAATCTTGGTTGAAAGCACCAACAGTGATACAACTTGGTTCATTTTGTCATTTTTTACTCCCTTGAATTACTACATAAATATTAATAGCTAAACACATTGCAAACAGGTGGAGCTCATTCTGTCTCTGGAGCGCTGCCACCGTTATGTGATATCTCAGATGGGTGACGAGATTTTCCATGTGGGGAGGGCGGTCTGTCATTCCATGCCAACCCCATTGGACACACCCTTGGCTTGGAGTCCTTTATTTCCTGTGATATCTCTATGACAGCCTTCTTGGTCTTTTAACAGTTCATTCAGTAGAGTGGGAAGGAGTAACACATTCCATTTAAGAACCACATTCACTCCACTGTGTATCTGGTTAC
The DNA here is from genome assembly GCF_000001405.40 of Homo sapiens. Lineage (NCBI taxonomy): Eukaryota > Metazoa > Chordata > Mammalia > Primates > Hominidae > Homo > Homo sapiens. The sequence continues at coordinate 198,663,298 of NC_000002.12, forward strand.
TTTCTTTCAGACAGTGGCTGCTACTGATAAAAACATGGAATAGAGTTCCCAATATTTAAAGGTGCACATCAGTTATGCGTGAAATATGTTTCCAACACATCTAAATTTATGTATGCTTGATGAACTTTTCAAATTAAGAGAGTCACAGAGCTATTATGGTAGATAACATTATGATAAAGTCCCTCTTTTGTCTCCTGATTGGCAAATTCAAAGCTTGAACTATAGATCCAGCCAAAGTAATAATTTATTCTCTTACAGTCTATCAATGCATAAGTGGCATACTTCTTTTAAAAGGCTTTAGATAATATTTGTCTACCTTTTATACTGAATGATTTTTTATATCTATTACCTTCAATGCACCAAACGTATTTCAAAATAAAATTCAGAAATACAGCTGTCTTCCATTTTGCTAGGCATAATGGCTAGTGTATTTTTCCTATATCAGTAAACGATTCACTTGTACTTGTTTCATAGGAAGCAAGTATGTTTAGAATTGTCCTGGACTACGTTGAATGTGTGTGATTTTTTTAAGACTAGTAAGTGCTTGAGGCTCAGTGTACTTGAATTTCTTAACTGTTTCTATTTTATCATAAAATTTAAAAACTTGACCCATAAGCTCGAATGACCCATCTTCCAAATCTTATGCATTAGAAAAGTTTCTGATGTACTGCTGTAACTTGACACAATTTAGATTTTTTGATTTTATGGAAGAGGTTTAATTTGGTCCCAACCATGAAGCAAAATGTAATTTTACTGTCTTCTTATTGGTTAGTTACCATATGTTAATGAAAATAAAAATATTGAGGTAAAACCACTTTTTTTTTTTCATTGAGGTAACACTGTTAACATTCATTTAGTAATCTGCATTTAAATGGATTAGTTTTCTGGTAAATTTAAAATGATTTAGTCAGTTTTTATTTTTTATTTTTTTCTACTTTGAGCTTAAATCGGTGCCTCCCTCATTTTCTCTCTCTGTCTTGCATTATCTTGGGTACAGGGTCCTCTTCAGGGTGGTTTTGTTACATGCTTTACTTAGAGAGACAGCCCATAACTGCCATTATTTCATACAGGACTCTGTGGCAATCTACTGCAGGAACTCATATACTTAGATGATTCAAACGAAGATAGGAAGTGTCCAGAGAAATGAAAAATAAGTTATGGGAGGAAGGAGACATAGCTTCCATTTTCATCAGACTCAATGTATGCAGATTGTTTTATTACAGGCAATGTATACAGAGGAAGACCAATGTGACTTATGATTCACAACCGTAAACTCAGCCTTTTGCTTGGATTGCTACATAGACATGTGACTATATCACAAATATGCAGAATCCCAGATTTTCTTCCCATTGACTGATGTCTTTTAAACTTTTTTATGTTGAAATTCAAGGTCTTGAATTGAGATAATTATATATGAACTAATAACCGGGGGATAATAGACTTCAGAGAGGTCTCATCTTATGGACTGTTTTTCCTGATTGGAGAAAATAAAAACCAGTGGAGAAGAATAGGGTGGCTTCCTACTATGACAATCTGAAATTTCACTCCAAGGCTTCCCTGTTCATCTACTCAAATGTGAGATACTGAGATACAATTTATTTAACTCATAAGAATAAACTGTTCATCCCATTTGAAGAAACAATTACCTGTTTTGTTGAAGCAACCTTTTCAGTTTAGTTTTTCAGTTCTATTTATCAGTTTTCCCTTACTTGCCTATGAGTTTATAGGATATTGGGGGTGGTATACTATTTGTCTTTGAAACTCTAGTTTAGGACAAATCATGAATTAAGAGGTGGCAGTTGACAAATATTGACTGAATGCTGAGTGAACAAATGCCTGCACTCATCAAAGTATGATGAGTGTGTGTGTGTGTGTGTGTGTGTGTGTGTGTGAAGTGATATTTTAGACAGCTATAACAAAGTATTTCTTTGAAAGTTTCGTTTCAAATTAGAAAATTTCATTTTCTAATTAACAGACAGGGTTGGTAACATATGGGGGGGTATGCCAACTGTTAAACATTAAGAGGCCATAAATCAGGTATAGTTGTTGAGATCCCTTTAGCTACCAACACTAGATGGTTAAAGAATCATGACTTTGATGTTGGAAGAGACTTTAAAGCACTTATAGTGTGAACGTGGATATTCTAATTGGGAATATGGCATAGTTTAAATTGGTTTGAAACAATGACTAATCATTGACTCTCTCACCTTCTAAAAGTGACCCGTTTGCCCTTTAGAACACTAAGGAGACAGTAACCCAATTAAAAACAAGCCCCCAAATTCCACACGACAGTAGAGCTGAGGAGCTCAGGAAGCACACCTTTCTTTCCACTCACCCTTGAAGAAGACATGCTGAAACCCCAGTGCAGCAGAATCAGAATCCAGATGCCTCCCTACTGGGTGCCACTTTCAGATTTCCCCAGAAAATAAAACTGAGTGTGTATATCAGGGGGTTGAGGGTAGATGTGATGGTTGTGTGTACAGATGTCATCATAAGTTCATTCACTCACATTCTCGAGGTTTTGACCCCTGCCCAGCACACACACACACACACACACACACACACTCTCTCTCTCTCTCTCTCTCTCTCCCCAGACTTCATGATACCATAGATTCTTCTTTGCAAATTACACAAAATTATACATTAATATTCTCATCTTTACTTACTTATTTGGCAAAAACAAGTCCACATGCCAATATCTAGGGTCACCTATATGATGCTTTTACCGGAAAGTTACAGAATGTTTTATTGTATTTTTCTGTGAGGAAATTTTGAGAAGAGCAGCCTTGTCCTTTTTTCATAGCAATATCCATTGACCATTTGTATCACTCAACAAATATTCATTGGATGTTTACTGTGCACCTGGCACTCCTCTAGGTCTGGAGAGGTTTCAGATACTAACAATAAAGAGGAGAGAAAAGGAGAGGGAGGACATAAAGAGGAAGAGATGCCATCGTGATAAATCATAAGATGCCTTTCCCAAACTGGCAGCTCCTGCTTTTCTCCCTGCCCTCTCGGCCACCAAACAAACAAACAAACAAGATGTGGGGTCCTAGGAAATGTCCTTGTTGCTGCTGGAAATATTTGTAATCCCTTTGGCTAGGTTTGGTGGCTCACACTTGTAATCCTAGTGCTTTGGGAGGCTGAGACAGGCAGACTGCTTGAGCCCAGGAGTTTGAGACCTGCCTGGGGCATGGCAAAACCTCTGTTTCTACCAAAAATGCAAAAATTATCCAGGTGTGGTGGTGCATCCCTGTAGTCCCAGTTGCATGGGAGAATCACTTGAGCCCAGGAGGTCGAGGCTGTAGTGAGCCATTATTGCGCCCCTGCACTCCAGCCTCGGCGACAGAGTAGACCCTGACTCAAAAAACAAAAAAGTAAAAAGAAATATTTGTAATCCCTTCTATGTCTTGATAGACATATTTGAAGATAATGAAGTCCAATCCCAGCACTTTGGGAGGCAGATGTGGGTGGATCACTTGAGGTCAGGAGTTCAAGACCAGCCTGGCCAACATGGTAAAACCCATCTCTATTAAAAATATAAAAATTAATCCCAGCTACTTGAGAGCCTGAGGCACGAGAATTGCTTGAAGCTGTGAGGCAGAGGTTGCAGTGAGCCGAGATCGCATCACTGCACTTCAGCCTGGGTGACAGAACGAGACTGTCTCAAAAAAAAAAAAAAAAAAAAAAAATTTATTTGTGGAGTTTATAAAATCCTGGCCAAAGTCACTTCATGGAATTTTATCAGTATTAATAAAGCACCAGAGCTCTGCAAATACTCTGTGAGATATTCAGGAGTATTTCAGTTTTCCTTAATCTTAAGAATGCTGTTAAAACTGTCTGCTCCTAAACACAGGTTGAACAAACTTACAGAACCATACTTTTTCATATGATACTTGCCTTGTGGCCTCATGAGGACCTCTCTCAGAAGCAGTAGATACAATAAAGTACTGGTTCATTAATCCAATAGCCTGACTATACTGTTGATTTGTGGGTGTCTCTGAATCAGTCCCCTTTGGGGCCTTGGTTTTCTCATCTGTACCGTGAGGAAGATAGTGAATGGAGTCAGATTTATTTGGATTCTAATTCTAGGCCTGTCACTCACTACTGTGCAACTCTGGGCCAGGCACTTCAGGCTGTTCGTTTTCCCCATCTGTAGCAGTGGCTCAGAACAAACGTTAGATTATATCAAATGTTTGAAAGAATGCTTCATGGAAGGCTCTGCACGTATTCCTTTGATGCTCAGAGGCAGGTGAGTGACAGGGTGAGTGGAAGCTACATGGGAACAGAATTTGGCTGTCTATAAGCAGGATCATTTTTAATGTCAGAGCTCATTCAAAAATGGAAGATATTGTCTCAGGAACATCAAATTACTTATGGACTGACTATTGTTAAGTGGTGACAGATTTCAGATCTGACCTAAGCATCAGAAAAAAAAAAAAAGAAGAAAAAGAAAACTTTCCCTATATTTGAACCAAAATCTTTCTATATTTTCTGTTTCACTTTAAATTTTTTACATCTGTTTTCTAAAATTACCACTCGATTGACTGTTCTTTAAATGTCATCAGTGAATTTCTAATTCCTGAATCTAATTTTAAAAGCCTTTCATTATTTACATATGTTACATCTACTTTTCAATGGCTACTCAATAAATACTATAGTCACAACCCTATCTTTTTTCCTGAAGTCTGAGACTTTGGCAAAATTTGTTTTTTTCCTTGAAACTTTCTCTTTCTTTAGTTTTTACACACTAATTTGTGAAATCCAAATTCCAAACATCTCTTCCAATCTTTTTTGCTGCTCTTTTCTTAGGTTACTTTGTGGGCTTCTTATTCCCTGACTCTGAAATCTGGGAGGACACAGATCCTTGCTCTTTCTTCTTCTCCCTGGGTGAGTTCATCCCATGTCAGCCAAGATTCACAGAATGAAACACTACTGCTTTCTTTCTTTATTCTATATGATGAGTTAAAGTTTCTCTTGTGCATTAAAAATGAAACAGATAATGTACCATCCTTAAGAGAACTGAGAAAATGGTCATTTATATCATTTTCTATAAAAATTAGTTAAAACTTGGATTGAGAAAGACTCCTCTCCAAAACCTCTCTGGGCCAGACCACTCAAGACCCATGTTTCCAACAGCTTACTAGTCATCACCTGGATAAACTGGAGCCCCTCAAGCCTGTCATTGCCCTCACAGCTTTCTCTTCATCTTTGTGCCTAATGATACACTATTTTTCAGTCACTTGTTCAAGAAGCTCAGGAGGAACCCCAACTTCTTTCATCTCTGAAACTTATAATGTACTAAAAATGTCTTATATCAGTTCTTTTCCTTTCTGTCCTACAGGCTAAATTTAGCCCTTTAGTATATTTTATTTGGACTATTATCAGGGAGAAATAGTTCTTTACCTGAATTTCTGCTTGCACATAGACTCATCAAGCAACCACCAACATCTTCTACTGATCCTTTAAAACTGTGGAAATGACCATTTGTATGTCTTCTTTTGGAAAATATCAGTTTGTGTCCTTTGCCCACTTTTTAATGGAGTTATTTTGTTGTTATTGTTTTGAGTTGTTTGAGTATTTGTAGAGTTTGGATATTAGTCGTTTGTCAGATGCATACTTTGCAAATATCATCTCCCATTCTGCAGGGTTTTTATTCACTCTGTCAATTATTTCTTTTACACTGGAGAAGTTTAATTAAGTCCCATTTGTCTATTTTTGGTTTTGTTGCATTTGATTTTGAGGTCTTAGTCACGAATTCTTTGTCTAGGCCAATATCCAGAAGAATTTTTCCAAGGTTTTCTTCTAGCATTTATATAGTTTCAGATTTTACATTTAAGTCTTTAATCAACCATGGTAACTTTTTGTATATGGTTAGAGATAGGGGTCCAGTTTCATTCCTTTGCATATGGCAATCCAGTTTTCTCAGTACCCTTTATTAAATAGGGTGTCCTTTCTCCAGTGTATGTTTTTGTTAACTTTGTCAAAGATCAGTTGGCTGTAGGTATGTGGCTTTATTTCTGACTTCTCTATATTATTCCATTGATCTATGTGCCTCTTTTTATACCAGTACCATGCTGTTTTGGTTACTGTGGGCAAAAGATATGAATAGATATTTTTAAAAGAAATCATATAAACAGAAAACAAACATATGAAAAAATGCTCAATATCACTATTCATCAGAGAAATGCAAATTCAAACCACAATGAGATACCATCTTTACCAGTCAGAATGGCTATTATTAATGCTTATATTGAAAAACTTTGCTAAATTTATTATTAAATATCTTTGCTTCTTCATTATTAAAAAGTCAAAAAATAACAGATGTTGGAGAGGATTTGGAGAAAATGAAATTTTTTTTTATTATACTTTAAGTTTTAGGGTACATGTGCACAATGTGCAGGTTTGTTACATATGTATACATGTGCCATGTTGGTGTGCTGCACCCATTAACTCGTCATTTACATTAGGTATATCTCCTAATGCTATCCCTCCCCCCTCCCCCCTCCCCCCACCCCACAACAGGCCCTGGTGTGTGATGTTCTCCTTCCTGTGTCCATGTGTTCTCATTGTTCAGTTCCCACTTATGAGTGAGAACATGCAGTGTTTGGTTTTTTGTCCTTGCGATAGTTTGCTGAGAATGATGGTTTCCAGCTTCATCCATGTCCCTACGAAGGACATGAACTCATCATTTTTTATGGCTGCATAGTATTCCATGGTGTATATTTTCTTAATTGTGGCAATGGTGCCACATTTTCTTAATCCAGTCTATCATTGTTGGACATTTGGGTTGGTTCCAAGTCTTTGCTATTGTGAATAGGGCTGCAATAAACATATGCGTGCATGTGTCTTTATAGCAGTATGATTTATAATCCTTTGGGTATATACCCAGTAATGGGATGGCTGGGTCAAATGGTATTTCTAGTTCAAGATCCCTGAGGAATTGCCACACTGCCTTCCACAATGGTTGAACTAGTTTACAATTCCATCAACAGTGTAAAGTTTTCCTGTTTCTCCACATCCTCTCCAGCACCTGTTGTTCCCTGACTTTTTAATGATTGCCATTCTAACTGGTGGGAGATGGTATCTCACTGTGGTTTTGATTTGCATTTCTCTGATGGCCAGTGATGATGAGCATTGTTTCATGTGTCTTTTGGCTGCATAAATGTCTTCTTTTTAGAAGTATCTGTTCATATCCTTCACCCACTTGTTGATGGGGTTGTTTGTTTTTTTTTGTAAATTTGTTTGAGTTCCCTGTAGATTTTGGATATTAGCCGTTTGTCAGGTAAGTAGATTGCAAAAATTTTCTCCCATTTTGTAGGTTGCCTGTTCACTCTGATGGTAGTTTCTTTTGCTGTGCAGAAGCTTTTTAGTTTAATTAGATCCCATTTGTCAATTTTGGCTTTTATTGCCATTGCTTTTGGTGTTTTAGACATGAAGTCCTTGCCCATGCCTATGATCCAACTTACAAGGGATGTGAAGGACCTCTTCAAGGAGAACTACAAACCACTGCTCAACAAAATAAAAGAGGATACAAACAAATGGAAGAACGTTCCATGCTCATGGGTAGGAAGAATCAATATTGTGAAAATGGCCATACTGCCCAAGGTAATTTATAAATTCAATGCCATCCCCCATCAAGCTACCAATGATTTTCTTCACAGAATTGGAAAAAACTACTTTAAAGTTCATATGGAACCAAAAAAGAGCCCACATTGCCAAGTCAATCCTAAGCCAAAAGAACAAAGTTGGAGGCATCACGCTACCTGACTTCAAACTATACTACAAGGCTACAGTAACCAAAACAGCATGATACTGGTACCAAAACAGAGATGTAGACCAACAGAACAGAACAGAGCCCTCAGAAATAATGCCACATATCTACAATTATCTGACCTTTGACAAACCTGACAAAAACAAGCAATGGGGAAAGGATTCCCTATTTAATAAATGGTGCTGGGAAAACTGGCTAGCCATATGTAGAAAGCTGAAACTGGATCCCTTCCTTACACGTTATACAAAAATTAATTCAAGATGGATTGAAGACTTAAATGTTAGACCTAAAACCATAAAAACCCTATAAGAAAACCTAGGCAATAGCATTCAGGAGAAAATGAAATTTTTATACATTTTGTGTGGGAATGTAAACTAGTATAACCTCTGTGGTAAACAGTATGGAGATTTCTCAAAGAACTAAAAATAGAACTTCCATTTAATCCAGCAATCCCACTACTGGGTATCTACCTAAAGGAAAACAAATCATTATATCAAAAAGATACCTTCACTTGTATGTTTACTGTGGCACTATAATAGCAAAGGTATAGAATTAGCCAAAGTGTCCATTAGAGGATAAATGGATTAAGAAAATGTGGTATATCTATACCATTGAGTACTACTCAGCCATAAAAAGAATGAAATCATGTGTTATGCAACAACATGGATGGAACAGGAGACAATTATCTTAAGTAAATAACTCAGAAATATTGCATGTTCTCACTTTTAAGTGAGAGTTAAATAACGCATACACATGGACATAGAGAGTGGAGTAATAGACACTGGAGACTCAGAAGGGTGGAATAACGGGAGATGGGTTAGGGATGAGAAATTATTATGCTCTAGACACTCTATTACACTAATCAACTGGGTGATTAAAGAGTATTAATGAGAACAGTAAATTTTACTTGAATAAAGAAGGAAATGCAAAGTTTACCAGATAGATAAAGAGGAGAATGGTATTTAGAAAAGGGAAACAGCAAAGATAAAAGCTTTTGGGGACACTATTTGGGTGATGGCTACACTAAAGCCCAGATTTCACCACAACCAAATACATCCATGCCACAAAACTGCGTTAATACCCACCGCCTAAATCTATTTTATAAAAAACTGTCTAAATCATCTCTTCAGCATGTAAATAAGGTTTTTTTGTTCATTTGGTTCTATCTTGATGTGATTGCTCCTCTTTCTTTGGCATGGCATGCAAGGTGTTTTATATCTTCCTGCCCAGGTTAATTTTCTGAATCCCTTGATGCAATCTGTCTTCTACTATTGAATAATATGAAGTTCACTGAATGTACATCATCTTTTTCTTTTTGCTCTGAGCTTTTACTTTTGTTGTTTCCATTTCCTAAGTACCATTCTCCTCTCTATGTATCTGGTAAACCTTGTGCTTCCTTTATTATTCAAGTAAAATGTACTGTTCTCATTAATACTCTAATTACCCGGTTGATTAGTGTAGTAAAGTGTCTATAACATAATAAATACTTAATAAATGTTAAAACTTAAATATCATGTCATATACTAATACATGTTATTTTATTATTATGGTGTTGAAGATGGGATGTAGGCTCTAGGTGACAGGTTGTACCAACAAAATTGTAGGTTTCTTCCAGTTCTGAGATTCTATAGGTCTATGATTTATTCTAAACTAAATATTAGCTCACTGGCACTTCAACAAAATTCTTTGGCCATAGTTTCTCCTTGTTGTGTCCAGGATAAGCCATATTTTATAGGACTTCAACAAAAAAAATCATATTTTATTACTCCCCTCACCTACTCCTGTGACCTAGTTTAAGTTTAAACAAGTCCAAGTCACTAAAGTCTCCACCTTACCTTAGGGACAAAAATGCCTGGAAGAGAAATCTCTAATTTTCTCAGCAAAATAAGACTTTAAATATCTCCCTAGCCTACCTTAGTGCTCCGTGTTTTTACTTCCTTTCTCTCATCTTTTCTCCTCCCTCCCTGCCGACATTAGCATAAAAATGTGCTACCCTAACTAAGCAGTCTGTTAACTGATAAGTTATCAAAAATCATCTGTTATTTTTGTTATTATTTTATTTTTTTGAGATGGAGTCTCTCTCTGTTGCCAGGCTGGAGTGCACTGGCATGATCTTGGCTCACTGCAACCTCCGCCTCCCAGGTTCAAACGCCTCAGCCTCCTGAGTAGGTGGGACTACAGGCACACACCACCATGCCCAGCTAATTTTTGCATTTTTAGTAGAGACTGGGCTTCACCATGTTGGCCAGGATGGTCTCGATCTCCTGACCTCATGATCCGCCCATCTCAGACTCCCAAAGTGCTGGGATTACAGGCGTGAGCCACCGCGCCCGGCCAATCACCTGTTATTTTTATAGCTCAAAGGTAGACACCATTTCAATAACTAGAGTTGAATGGGTAGGATTTGTTAGTGCTTTTTAGATGCATCATTGTAAACTCGAGGTCGTTTAAAATGGAGCGATTGGAAGCTTGAAGTATTAGCCCATAAACAATCAAGCTTTAGAATTTTGCTATCCTTAAATTTTTGTCTGCATAAAATCATTGTATATCATATTTTATCATAAAGAATCTTGGTTGCTGTCTAATGCTTAAACTGAAAATCTCTACTACATTTAATTCATACCAATGTAATCATCAAACAAAACTCAGATCAGAACATCCTCTTCTATTCCAGCAGGGGCTTCCTTTGCTGTAAGATACTTTTCAAAGGGTCCCTGAAGCAGCAGACGTGTGCTTTGTAAGCAATTATTTTCCAAGTTTGTATTTCTAAATCACTTTAGGTACAATGAGGTGACACTCAAGTTAGAAGTGGGTCTGTTTCAGGCCCCAGGCCTTATGGCACCTGGGATTGCTGGTAGAGGATTGGATTCTAAATCAATTTGAATAAAAGAATTATTTAAAAAACCAAAGGACTCAGGTTGCCAAGATTTTTCACTGTGATGAACCATTTTTGCATTATAGGGCCTAGTCACCCATTTAAACATGACAGAAAAGGAAAAGAAAACTACAAATTCTGGAAAGGAGGATGAACTATTTAATCACACAGATATGAAAGCAGTCAACATGACCTTGGATCAAGATGTACCTGTTATTATACTCCAATATATCTTATATTATGTAATTGTCCAATAGTGGCCCAACAGGTTGAAATTTTAATATGGTTAATTGAATGATCAATAAACTATTTAAAGTATATGATCTCATTTGTTCTTAAATTCTAGCCCTTGTTGACATGATCAATACACAATTTGTCACAAATAACCAGCAACATTATACACAGTTAAGTAAAGTGAAAAAGTGTAACATGTATTTGTGTGTATAATAGATGATTATTTTAAATTAAATAATTATTTTTAGTTTTACAAGTATTGAATGAATAATTCTTCAGGATATAATGCTGCTGTGTTAAAAAAAAAGGAATAATTCTTGATGTAAAACTCCAAACAATACTGAAAAATATTGAGTTAAAAAGACACTCCCCACTTATCCTGAAGCCAATACTATTAATACGTTAATGTATATCCTTTGAGGTCTTTTACCATGCATTCATAATGTGTTGCACTATGTTATATATACATACATAAATATACCTGTAGAGTTTTAGATATTTAAAATTGTTATTGTCTTTATTTTGTTTTTAGGGAGGCCTCATCTCATATACACACAAAACTCAGGAGTCAGACGGCCTGAATTTAAAATCTTCAGCCTTCTCCAAGTCAATAGACCTTTCTGTGCCTCAGCTTCCTCTTATTTAAAATATGGATAATAACAGTATACACCTCAAAGAATTTTGTGAGAATTGTTGCATGTGTATGTGTTCCACAATTCTTAATACTTCATATACATGAAATACTTATAACCATTGCTAGCACATAGTAAACATTATATAAGTATTGTTGTTTTTATTATTTTATACTCTACAACCCTCCTTTCACTTAATAATATATCTTATGATTTTTCTGGATCATTCCATAAGGATTTATCATATTCATTTTACATGTTGCATAGTATTCCATACTCTGGAAGTAATTTATTCTCCTGTGGATAGATCTTTAATTTTTTTCTATTTTTCAAAATTAGCATATGTTGCAATGAGCATCGTGTGTGTGTGTGTGTGTGTGTGTGTGTGTGTGTATGTGTGTGTGTATCTGCATTTCTGTGAGTACACCTGTAACTTCCATTCCTAGAATTAAATTGTTGGATCAAATGGTATAAAAATTATCTTTTAAGAAACCCACAAATCATCATCTAAAATGCATTAGAAATTTGCATTGCACCAACAGTGAGTACATGTGTCTTCACAACCTCCCCTGCACTCCAGCAATTCTATACAACTCTTTTAAAGTTGCAATTCTCTCATTGGTAAAATTGGGCATTACCAACCAAATAGAATATTAACACTTTTAAATTTCATGTAATCTAATGAATAAAAAATAGTAAATCGTTTTAAAAATAATTTTGGATTTGTCTAATTAATGATAAAGTTGGACATCTCATGGATTATGTATTTTTTGTCTATATGTTGGGTTTTATCTTTAAATTGATGATTTTCAAGATCTAACATATTATGAATATTAATCATTTGAATCAGATATATCAAATATTATTCATATTCTTTGCATGCTTTTAAATTTTGTTAATGTCTTTTATTACTATAAAATCTTTACATTTCATTGTAGTAAAAATGTCATATGACTTCTATATTTTGTGTTCTAGATAATGCATATTAAGACTTTTCTATTTTTGGTAGTTTTTAAATATGGAAATCTTGAATCCACCTGAAATTCACATTTCTGTAAAATAAAGTGTGAAAAATATCTGTCTTACTTTCTGCATATGAATAGCCATAGCTAACACAATTTAGTAAGTAGTCTGTCTTTCACCTAATTATTTGAAATGCCATTATATTACATACTAAATTGCCATATATAATGAGTCTTAGACTCATTATGTTCTCTACTGATAGACTTATATTCTCTATTCTGTTCCACTAATAAGTTTGTCTATTCATGCACCGATACTGCATAGTTTTAATTAAAATAGCTTTATAGTATGTCTTAATACCTGTTAGGGCAATACCATTACTACTGGTTTTTTTTCAGTTTTTTTTACAGCTATCTTTATTGTTGTTATCTTCCAAATTAATAATCAATTTGTCAAGTTCTGCAAAGCCAAATTGAAAGTTTTATGAGAATTTAAATTTATAGATCAATTTAGTTTAACTCTTTTAAATTCTTTTATTCAGGATCATGTTATTTATTTCTACTTCCTTCAGTAGAAGAAAGTAAAACTGACTTTTATCTTAGTTAATTTGTGTTTCCATTTGAGTTTATCTTTTCTGAACATGACTTTTATTTCTATTTTTATCTATTACCTGATATGTCATTCATTACCATTTTGTAATTTTCTTCATGAAATAGGAACAATAATAATGATAAACTAAACCTACCATAGAATTTACTCTGTGCCAGGCACTTTTCTAACTAATTTACACATATTCTCCTTCTTTAATCCACACAAAAATCCTGTGAAATAGTTATTATATTTTGCATTTTTAACACAAGGTAATAGAGGTACATTAAAAAATTGCTCAGCATCATACAGTTAGTAAGCAGTAGAGCTGTGATTCACATTTAGGTAGTCTGGGTCCAGTGGTTATGTCCCTAGGAATTAGTTAGGTATACTATCATTATTTGTGTATTTTATGTCATGATACTTTGTAATTTTTTTTTATACTTTAAGTTCTGGGGTACATGTGCAGAATGTGCAGGTTTGTTACATAGGTATACATGTGCCATGGTGGTTTGCTGCATCCATCAACCCGTCATCTACATTAGGTATTTCTCCTAATGCTATCCCTCCCCTAGCCTCCCAACCCAACAGGCCCCAGTGTGTGATGTTCCCCTCCCTGTGTCCATGTGTTCTCATTGTTCAACTCCCACTTCTGAGTGAGAACATGCCATGTTTGGTTTTCTGTTCTTGTGTTAGTTTGCTGAGAATGATGGTTTCCAATGTCATCCATGTCCCTGCAAAGGACATGAACTCATCCCTTTTTTATGGCTGCATAGTATTCTATAAATCATTCTACTATAAAGACACCTGCACACATATGTTTACTGCAGCACTATTCACAATAGCAAAGACTTGGAGCCAACCCAAATGCCCATCAATGATAGACTGGATAAAGATATTTTGTAGTTTTTATTGCAACTGAGACTGTGATCTTTTCTCCTATTAAATTTTCTAATTGCCTATTGACAATATATAAAGAAAATGTTTTCTGTAAGGCTTGGTATTACAAACATAATTATTAAGGACAGTTTTGAATATCAAATGTAGTGCTACTTGAAGTCCAAAACTAGGCAAAGGCTCAATCAGTGGATATTTAGTTTTGATTCCAACTTTCCAATGGAGTGACTGCATTATACCTAGGAGTTTGGTATCTTTTAGAGTACATCAATAAAATGAGAAGAAAAAGAAGTTCTCATCTTACTCTTTCTTCTAAAGAACAATAGACCTTATTAATCCTTTATCAAACATTTATTAAGCACAAAACAAAGCTATGCTCATTGTACCATATGGACTACATGAATGTAAAATATAATTCCACATTAGTAGTTTTGTGACTAATGCAGCTTTAAAAAATTCAGCATTGAAAATCATTATGGTAATTACATAAATATTTGTTGATCCTATATTTTAAAAGAAACGCTTTGCTTCTCACATTATAGTGAGTAAAATTAAATAGTTTGAAGCTGTGTGACCTAGTATCGGCACAGGAACATCCATTATTTTTACTTTCTTACCTGTATATATTATTCTATTCTCTCATAAATATTTCTTTTCCTGTTACTAAGTTTTCATTTTCTTTAAGACACTTCTCTGCCTGGTAGAAACCTCAAACAAGCAATATGATTTCCAACAAAGAAAAAAACATCAACAATAAGGGGATTGATCTTAGCAAGAAGGTGAAGTAGAAAGACCTAGACCTTCCTTCCCTCATGAAAATACTGATTTAATGGTAACACAGAAATAGAGCTACATAAATTACCTGACAAATAATTCAAAATAACCACTGAAAAGATGCCCAACAATTTCAAGAAAATATGCTTGAACAAAATGACAATAGTAACAAAGAGATAAAATATATTTTTAAAACGAATAGAATTTTTAAGCTAAAGAGTAGAATAAATTGAAAAATTCACTGGAGAAACTCAACAACTGACTAATAAAGCAGAAGAAAGAATCAGTGAAATAAACAGATCATCTAAATTTATCCAGTCAGAAGAGAAAAAAAGACTAAACATTAGTGAAGAGAACCTGAGAGACCTATGGGACAACATCAAACAGACTAATGTATACATTGAGAGGGTGTCAGATGGTACAGAGAGACATAAATGGAAGAAAGCTTATTTAAAGGAATAATTACCTAAAGCTTCCCAAATTGAGAGAAGGAAATGGGCATCCGGATTTAAGAAGCCAATAGATTTCTAAATAGAATGAACCAAAAAAGTCCACACCGAGACACATTATAATGAAATTCTCAAAATTAAAAAAAAAGAAGAAAGATGAAAGCAGCAAAAGCGATTTATCATGTAAAAGTAAGCCTCCATGAGACTATCAGCAGATTTCTTAGCAGGAACATTACAGGCTAGAGAGGGTTTGAGATGATATAGGCAAACTGCTGAAAGAAAAACAAAATGCAACAAAACAACTCTGTTGACCAAGAATTCTTTGTCCAGCAAAACTGTCTTTAGAAAATGAAGGAGAAATATTTTCCCAAATAAATACAGGCTGAGAGAGTTTATCACCACTAGACTTGCCATACAGGAAATGTTAAAGGGAGTTGTTAAATTGAAACAAAAAGAGAGCACACATGAAAGCATATGAAAGTGTAAAGCTCACTGGTAAAGATAAATATGTGGGCAAAGACAGAAAACTGTAATAATGTAGTGCAATGGTGGTTTATATAATATTTTAGTTCTGATAAAGAAGATAAATAATAAAAGTATTTTAAAAATTATAACTATAAAACATGCTAATAAAAATACCATATAAAAAGATAAAATTTGATGCCAAAATATAAAGTGGCATAAAGTAGAGTTAAACTATAACACAAGACAAAGAAGTACATTATAAAATAATAAATGTCAATTCACCAGGAAGATATAACAATTATTTATACAATACAATAAAGTTTATTGATGTTTATTATTTGTTGTCCTATAATTTTCTTAGGTTTTTAATTATTTATTGTTACATCTTCCTGGTGAGCTGACATTTATTATTTTATAACGTACCAATTTGTCTTTGTTATAGTTTTTAACTCTACCTTATATCACTTTATATTTTGGTGTCAAATTTTATCTTTTTATATGGTATTTTGAGACTATTATTCTAAATGAAATAACTCAGGAATGGAAAACCAAACATCATATGTTCTCACTCATAAGTGGGAACTAAACTATGAGAATGCAAAGGCACAAGAATGACACAATTGACTTTGGGGACTCAGGGGGAAAGGGTGGGAAGGGAGTGAGAAATAAAAGGCTACAAACTGAGTGCAGTGTATACTACTTGGGTGAATGGTGCACAAAAATCTCACAAATTACCACTAAAGAACTTACTCATGTAACCAAACACCACCTGTTCCCCAATAACCTATGGAAATGCAAAATTTTATATATATATGTGTGTGTGTATATATATATGTGTATATATATGTGTGTGTGTGTATATATATATATATATATATATATATATATATATATATATATACTCAACACCATAGCACCCAAATATATAAAGCAAATGCTGACAGAACTAAAGGGAAAACTAGACAGCAACACAATAATAGTAGGCTATTTCAACATCTAACTTTGAATAATGAATAGAATATTTGGAGAGAAGATCAATAAAGAAACAAAGGATTTGAACAACATTGCAGATCAAATGGTTCTAAAAGACATAAAAAATAGTCTACCCAACAGTAGCCGATTACACTTTCTTCTCAAGTGCACATGGAACATTGTCCAGAATAGATCACATTAGATTACAAAGGAGGACTTAACAAATCTAAGAAAGTTGAAGTTATACCAAATATATTTCTGACCACAATGGGTTGGAAGCAGAAATTAACAGTACAAAGAAACTACAAATTCACAAATAAGAGGAAATTAAACAACATATTCTTGAGAAACCAATGTATAAAAGAAAAAATCAGAAGGGAAATTGGAAAATATCTTGAGACAAACAAAAACACATTATACCAAAACTTACAGGATGTAGCAAAAGCAGTATTAAGAGGGAAGTTTATAGTGGTAAATGGCAACATTAAAAAATAAGAAGGATCTTAAATAAACAATTTAAATTTTCTCTCAATAAAACTAGAAAAAGAAGAACAAACTAACACCAAAGTTAGCAGCGGGAAGGAAATAATAATAATAATAGAACATAAATAAACAAAATAGAGATTAGAAAAATAATATTTTTAAAAAATCAACAAAACTGAGTTTTTTTAAAAAAAGGCCAAAAGAATGACATCTAGCTAGACTAAGAAAAAGAGAAAAGACACAAATTCTAAAAATAAGAAACAAAAGAGAATACATCACAAACAATGCCACAGAAATAGAAAGGTTTGTAAAAATACTATGAACAATAATATGCCTGCAAATTGAGTAATCTAGAAGAAATCAGTAAGTTCCCAGAAACATAAACCTACCAAGACTGAATCATGAAGAAATAGAAAATCTGAACAGACATATCTAGTAAGGAGGTTAACTCACTAATAGTAATTAAAACAAAAAAAAACTTCTAGAGAATTCTACAAACTTCTAAAGAAAAATTAACGCCATTCCTTCTCAAAATCTTCAAAAATATAGAGTAGGAGAAGACTCTTCCAAACTCATTGTATGAGGTTATCATTACACTCATTCCAAATCCAGATAAAGACATATTCTAAGAAAAAAACCCTGACATCAATATATCTGATAGATAGAGATGCAGAAATCTCCAACAAAATACTAGTAAATGAAATTCAACAACACATGAAAAGAATCATACACAATGGCCAAGTGGGATTTGTTCCTAGGTTGCTTCAGCACAGAAAAAAAAAGCAATCAATGTGATACAGCACATTAACAGAATTAAAGATGAAAATGACATGATCATCTCAATACATTTTTTAAAAAGCACTGACAAATTTCAATAAAATTTTATGTTTAACACATTCAACAAACTGGGAATTAAATGAGGTTATCTCAAAATAATAAAGGTTATAGATGGAAAGCCACAGGTAACAACATACACAAAAAGAAGAACTAAAAGGTTTTCCTCTAAGGTTAGGAGAGTGGCAAGGATGCCCACCCTTACCAATTCTATTCAACATAATACTAGAAGTCCTAGCTAGAGCAACTAGTTGAGATAAGTAAATAAATAAAGACATCTAAATCAGAAAGAAAGTAAAATTATCTCTCTCTCACACACACACACATACACACAAACCTGTTAAAACTAATAAATAAATTCAGCAAAGTTTCAGGACATAAAATCAACATGCAAGATGTAGTTGTTTCTATACACTAACAGCGAACAATCTGAAAAGGAAATTAGGAAAGCAATCCCATTTACAAAAGCATCAAAAAGAATGAAATACTTAAGAATAAACTCAACCAAGTAGGTGAATGACTGGTATACTAAAAATGACAAAACAATTGTTAAAAGAAATTAAATAACACGCAAATAAGAATAACCGCTCATGTACACTGATGAAAAGACTTACTATTGTTAAATACTTATACTACCCAAAGCAATCTACAAATTCAAGGCAATCCCTGTCAAACTCTGAATGACATTTGTTTGCAGAAATAGATAAAACAATCCTAAAATCCCTATGGAATCACAAAGAACCCTAAATTTTCAAAACAATCTTGAGAAAGAACAAAGCTAGAGACTTCGAAACATATTACAAAGCAACTGTAATAGTGTAGTACTGGCATGAACGTAGACATATAGACCAATGGGACAGCAATAAAACCCATCCATGTATGGTCAAATGATGTTCGACAAAAGTGTCAACACTACACACAGTGGGGAAAGGGTTCAACTCAACCCAGTGGGAAAACTGGATGTCTTCATGCAGAAGAATGAAATTGGGCCCTTATGTTGTATTATACATAAAAATCAACTCAAAATGGATTAGACATAAATGTAAGACCTTAAACTACAAAATTCCTGGAAGAAAACACAGAAGAAAAGTTTCATAATATCAGTCTTAGCAATTATTTTTTGGATATGACACCAAAAGCACAGGCAATAAAAGAAAAAAAAAGTCAAGTGGGAGTGCATCAAACTTTAGTTTGCTTCTGCCCAGCAAAAGTAGTAATCAACAGAGTGAAAAAGCAATCTATAGAGTAGGAGAGTAGGAGAAAATATGTACAAACAATATGTATGATAAGGAGTTAATATCCAAAATATATAAATAACTTCTACAATTCAATGGCAGAAACAAATAAAAAACTTGGTAAAAAAATGTGCAAAGAATGTGAATAGACATTTCTCCAAATAAGACATGAACAAGATCAATAGGTATATAAAAAGATGCTCAACATCACTAGTCATCAGGGATATGCAAATCAGAACTACAATTAGATATCACCTCACAGTGGTTAAAATGGCCATGATATATGTGTATACATTATACATAAATACATACATCAAATGTTAGGAGGATGTGGTGAAATTGGAACCCTTGTAAACTGTTGGTAGGAATGAAAAAATGCAACTTCTGTTGAAAATAGGATGGAGGTTCCTCCAAAAACTAAGAATAGAACTACCATGTGATTCAAGTATCTCACTTTTGGGTATTTATCCCAAAGAACCGAAAACAGGATGTTGAATAGATATTTCCACTCCTATGTTCATTGCAGAATTATTCACAATAACTAAGATATGGAGCCAACCTACAAGTCAACTGGTAGATAAATGGGTAAAGAAAATGTAGTATATACATAAAATGGAATATTATTTCCCCTTAAAAAAGAAGGAAGTCCTGACATACGCTACAACATAGATGAACCTGGAGGTCATTATGCTAAGTGAAATAAACCAGTAACAGAAGGACAAATACTGCATAATTCTTTATAGGAGATATCTAAAGTAGTCAAACTCATAAGACCAGAAAGTAGAATGGCGGTTCCAGGGAATAGGGGAAGAGGGAAATGAGGAGTTGTTGTTCAATGAGTATAGAATTTCTATCAATAAAGATGAAAAAACTCTAGAGATCTGCTGTACAACAATGTGCATAAAGTTAGCAATACTCTTTTGTATACTTGAGAATTTAAGAGTATAGATATCATGCTGTGTGTTTTTTGCCACAATAAAAAAAGAAAAACAAATTAAATGCTTATGTTGATTTGCTGTTACATATTTTTTTCCAACGGCAAAGTTGTCTGGTTTCAGTGGTTTATCAGTGATTAGTAAACTACTGCCCACATAACAAATCCAACCTGCCATCTCTTTCTGTAAATAATTTTTTATTGGAACACAGCCATGCCCATTTGTTTACATATTGTCTATAGCCATTTATGATCTATAACAGCAGAATTATATAGGTGTGATGGAGACCATGCGACCTATAAAGCCTGAACTATTTACTCTCTGGGCCTTTGGATAAAAAGTTGATCCTGATCTGAATAGTGGGAATTTCTTTAGTTCATTTAAAGCCAAGCATGTGTGTGTTTAATAAATACCTGTGAGCCATGCTGTTAGTACTGCTGTTGATACTAATACTGAAATGCAAACTCTATAATACTTTGAACACATAAAATTAATATAAAGAATTAGCATAGAATTTTAAAATTGGACTGAAATTCTGTCTCATCTCTTCCAATAGGCAAAGGACATGAGAAACAGAGGAGCAAATGCTGGTGGTTATTACAACATGAACCATTCCAAAACAGCAACTGTGTATTGTTTCTTGGGAATCTATGATTAACTTAGCAGATCTCCTGTCTGGCTGGGCTCCATTGATATTAACTGGGCTTGCTTAAACATTTGCAATGAACCAATGAGTTGGTTAGGAGCTGGCTGCAGCTGGGATGGCATCAGCTTGGATGAATTAGGTCTGTTCCAAATACCTTTCATCCCTTCCTTCAGCAGGGCAGCCTGGACAAATTCTCATGGTCATGGTGGGAGGGGTGGGGGATTCATGAACACAGTGGAAATGCACTTTTTTCAGGCCTTTATTTTCATCAACTTTGTTAATGTTTACTGTCCAAATTAAGGCATATGACCAAACCCAGAATCTGTGTTGATGGGCATCAGTAGTGTGGATACTTGGAAGCATGAAAAAGTGGGGCTGTTAATACAATCAGTTATCCTGGAGTCTGGGGCAAGATGGCCAAATAGGAACAGCTCTGGTCTGCAGCTCCCAGCGAGATCGTTGCAGAAAGCGGGTGATTCCTGCATTTCCAACTGAGATACCCAGTTCATCTCATTGGGACTGGTTGGACAGTGGGTGCAGCCCATGGAGGGTGAGCTGAAGAAGGCTGGGGCATTGCCTCACCTGGGAAGTGCAAGGGGTCTGGGGATTTCCCTCTCCTAGCCAAGGGAAGCCTCTGAGGGACTGTGTCGTGAGGGAATGGTACCCTCCAGCCCAGATACTGTGCTCTTCCCATGGTCTTCACAACCCGCAGACCAGGAGATTCCCTCTGGTGCCTACACCACCAGGGTCCTGGGTTTCAAGCACAAAACTGGACAAAGGTTTGGGCAGACACCGAGCTAGCTGCAGGAGTTTCTTTTTTTTTTCTTTTTTCATACCCCAGTGGCACCTGGAACACCAGTGAGACAGAACCGTTCACTCCCCCAGAAAAGGGGCTGAAGCCAAGTGGTCTGGGAAGCCAAGTGGGAGCCAAGTGGTCTGGCTCAGCGGGTCCCACCCCCACAGACCCCAGCAAGCTAAGATCCACTGGCTTGAAATTCTCACTGCCAGCACAGTAGTCTGAGGTCAGCTTGGGACACTCAAGCTTGGTGGGGGGAGGGGTATCCACCATTGCTGAGGCTTGAGTAGGCAGTTTTACCCCCACAGTGTAAACAAAGCCACCGGAAAGTTCGAACGGGGTGGAGCCCACCACAGCACCACAAAACTATTGCAGCCAAACTGCCTCTCTAGATTCGTCCTCTCTGGGCATCTCTTCTTCAGGTATCTCTGAAAAAAAGGCAGCATCCCCAGTCAGGGACTTAGAGATAAAACCCCCATCTCCCTGAGACAGAGCACCTGGGTGAAGGGGCAGCTGTGGGCACAGCTTCAGCAGATTTAAACCTCCCTGCCTGACAGCCCTGAAGAGAGCAGCAGATCTCCCAGTACAGAGTTCGAGTTCTGATAAGGGCCAGACTACCTCTTCAAGTGGGTCCCTGACCCCCATGTATCCAGACTGGGAAACACCTCCCAGTAGGGACCGACAGACATCTCATACGGGAGAGCTCTGGTGGGTGTCCCTCTGGGGTGAAGCTTCCAGAGGAAGAAACAGGCAGGAATCTTTGCTGTTCTGGAGCCTCTGCTGGTGATACCCAGGCAAACAGGGTCTGGAGTGAAACTCCAGCAAACTCCAGCAGACCTGCAGCAGAGGGGCCTGACTCTTAGAAGGAAAACTAACAAACTGAAAGGAAGAGCATCAACATCAACAAAAAGGGTGTCTACTCAGAGACCCCACCCGAAGGTCACCAACATCAAGACCAAAAGTAGATAAATCCATGAAGATAGGGAGAAACCAGCACAAAAAGGCTGAAAATTCCAAAAACCAGAACACCTCTTCTCCTCCAAAGGATCACAACTCCTTGCCAGCAAGGGAACAAAACTGGATGGAGAATGAGTTTAACAAATTGACAGAAGTAGGCTTCAGAAGGTGGGTAATAACAAACTCCTCTGAGCTAAAGGAGCATGTTCTAACCCGATGTAAGGAAGCTAAGAACCTTGAAAAAAGGGTAGACAAATTGCTAACTAGAATAACCAGTTTAGAGAAGGACATAAATGATATGATGGAGTTAAAAAACACAGTGCAAGAACTTTGTGAAGCATACACAAGTATCAATAGCTGAATCAATCAAGCAGAAGAAAGGATATCAGAGATTGAAAATCAACTTAATGAAATAAAGTGAAAGAACAAGATTAGAGAAAAAAGAATGAACAAAGCCTTCAAGAAACATGGGACTATGTGAAAAGACTAAATCTACATTTGACTGGTGTACCTGAAAGTGACGGGGTGAATGGAACCAAATTGGAAAACACTCTTCATGATATTATCCAGGAGAACATCCCCAAGCTACCAAGACAGGCCAACATTCAAATTCAGGAAATACAGAGAACACCACAAAGATACTCCTCAAAAATAGCAACCCCAAGACACATAATCGTCAGATTCACCAAGGTTGAAATAAAGTAACATAAAGGGCAGCCAGAGAGAAAGGTCGGGTTACCCACAAAGGGAAGCCCATCAGACTAACAGCTGATCTCTCAGCAGAAACCCTACAAGCCAGAAGAGAGTGGGGGCCAATATTCAACAATTGTAAAGAAGAGTATTTTCAACCCAGAATTTCATATCCAGCCAAACTAAGCTTCATAAGCAAAAGAGAAATAAAATCCTTTACAGACAAGCAAATGCTGAGAGATTTTGTCACCACCAGGCCTGCCTTACAAGAGCTCCTGAAGGAAGCACTAAACATGGAAAGGAACAACCAGTACCAGCCACTGCAAAAACATATCATATTGTAAAGACCATTGACACCATGAAGACACTGCATCAACTAATGCGGAAAATAACCAGCTAGCATCATAATGACGGATCAAATTCACATATAACAATATTAACCTTAAATGTAAATGGGCTAAATGCCCCAATTAAAAGACACATACTGGCAAATTTGATAGAGTTAAGACCCATCAGTGTGCTGTATTCAGGAGACCCATCTCACATGCAAAGACACACATAGGCTCAAAATAAAGGGATGGAGGAATATTTACCAAGCAAAAGAAAAGAAAAAAATAGGGGTTGCAATCCTAGTCTCTGATAAAACAGACTTTAAACCAACAAAGATCAAAAAAGACAAAGAAGGGCATTACCTAACGATAAAGGGATCAATTCAAGAAGAAGAGCTAACTATCCTAAATATATATGCAACTAATACAGGAGCACCCAGATTCATAAAGCAAGTTCTTAGAGACCTACAAAGGGACTTAGACTCCCACACAATAATAGTGGGAGACTTTAACACCCCACTGTCAATATTAGACAGATCAACGAGACAGAAAATTAACAAGGATATTCAAGACTTGAACTCAGCTCTGGACCAAGAGGACCTAATAGACACCTATGGAACTCTCCACCCCAAAATAACAGAACATACATTCTTCTCAACCCCACACTGTACATATTCTAAAATTGACCACATAATTGGAAGTAAAACACTTCTCAGCAAATGCAAAAGAATGGAAATCACAAAAAAACAGTGCTCAGACCATGGTGCAATCAAATTAGAACTCAGGATTAAGAAACTTACTCAAAACTGCACAACTGCATGGAAACTGAACAACCTGCTCGTGAATGACTATGGAGTAAATAACAAAATTAAGGCAGAAATAAAGATATTCTTTGAAACCAATGAAAACAAAGACACAACGTACCAGAATCTCTGGGACATATTTAAAGCAGTGTTTAGAGGGAAATTTATAGCACTAAATGCCCACAAGAGGAAGCAGGAAAGATCTAAAATTGACACCATAACATCACAATTAAAAGAACTAGAGAAGCAAGAGCAAACAAATTCAAAAGTTAGCAGAAGACAAGAAATAACTAAGATCAGAGGAGAACTGAAGGAGATAGAGACACGAAAAACCCTTCCAAAAATCAATGAATCCAGGAGCTTGTTTTTTGAAAAAATCAACAAAATAGACCACTAGCCAGACTAATAAAGAAGAAAAGAGAGAAGAATCAAATAGACACAATAAAAAATGATAAACGGGATATCACCACTTATCCCACAGAAATACGAACTACCATCAGATAATACTATAAACACCTTTACACAAATAAACTAGAAAATCTAAAAAATTTGGATAAATTCCTGGACACACACACCTTCCCAAGACTAAATCAATAAGAAGGCGAATCCCTGAATAGACCAATAACAAGTTCTGAAATTGAGGCAGTAATTAGTAGCCTTCCAACCAAAAGAATTCCAGGACCAGATGGATTCACAGTCGAATTCTATCAGAGGTAGAAAGAGGAGGTGGTACCATTCCTTCTGAAACTATTCCATATGATAGAAAAAGAGGGAATCCTCCCTAACTCATTTTATGAGGCCACCATCATCCTGATACCAAAACCTGGCAGAGACACAACAAAAAAAGAAAATTTCAGGCCAATATTCCTGATGAACATCGATGTGAAAATCCTCAATAAAATACTGGCAAACTGAATCCAGCAGCATATCAAAAAGCTTATCCACTACGATCAAGACGGCTTCATCCCCGGGATGCAAGGCTGGCTCAACATACACAAATCAATAAACATAATCCATCATCTAAACAAAACCAACGACAAAACCACATGATTATCTCAATAGATGCAGAAAAGGCCTTCAACAAAATTCAACATCACTTCATGCTAAAAACTCTCAATAAACTAGGTAATGATGGAATGTATCTCAAAATAATAACAGCTATTTATGACTAACCCACAGCCAATATCATACTGAATAGGCAAAATTGGAAGCATTCCCTTTGAAAACTGGCACAAAACAAGGATGCCATCTCTCACTACTCCTATTCAACATAGTATTGAAAGTTCTTGCCAGGGCAATTAGGCAAGAGGAAGAAACAAACGGTATTCAAATAGGAAAAGAGGAAATCAAATTGTTTCTCTTACAAATGCCATGATTGTATATTTAGAAAATCCCATAGTCTCAGCCCAAAATCTCCTTAAGCTGATCAGCAACTTCAGCAAAGTCTCAGGATATAAAATCAATGTGCAAAAATCACAAGCATTCCTATACACCAATAACAGACAAAGAGCCAAATCATGAGTGAACACCCATTCACAACTGCTACAAAGAGAATAAAATACCTAGGAATACAACTTCCAAGGGATGTGAAGGACCTCTTCAAGGAGAACTACAAACCACTGCTCAAGGAAATAAGAGAGGACATAAACAAATAGAAAAACATTCCATGCTCATGGATAGAAAGAATCAATATCATGAAAATGGCCATACTGCACAAAGTAATTTATAGATTCAATGCAATCCCCATCAATCTACCATTGACTTCCTTCACAGAATTAGAAAAAACAACTTTAAATTTCATATGGAACCAAAAAAGCGCCCACATAGACAAGACAATCCGAAGCAAAAAGAACAAAGCTGGAGGTATCACACTACCTGACTTCAAACTATACTACAAGGCTACAGTAACCAAAACAACATGGTACTGGCACCAAACAGATAAATAGACCAATGGGACAGAACAGAGGCCTCAGAAATAACACCACACATCTTCATCCATCTGATCTGATCTTTGACAAACCTGACAAAAACAAGCAATGTTTAGTAAAAGCTGTTGGAAAAACTGGCTAGCCATATGCAGAAAACTGAAACTGGACCCCTTCCTTACACCTTCTTCAAAAATTAACTCAAGATGGATTAAAGACCTAAATGTAAGACCTAAAAGTATAAAAACCCTAGAAGAAAACCTAGACAATACCATTCAGGACATAGGCATGGGCAAAGACTTCATGACTAAAACACCAAAGGCAATGGCAACAAAAGCCAAAATTGACAAATGGGATCTAATTAAACTAAAGAGCTTCTGCACAGCAAAAGAAACTATCATCAGAGTGAACAGGCTACCTACAGAATGGGAGAAAATTTTTGCAATCTATCCATCTGACAAAGGGCTAATATCCAGAATCTACAAAGAATTTAAACAAATTTACAAGAAAAAACAACCCTATCAAAAAGTGAGTGAAGGATATAAACAGACAGTTCTCAAAAGAACACATTTATGCAGCCAACAAACATATGAAAAAAGCTCATCATCACTGGTCATTAGAGAAATGCAAATCAAAACCACAGTGGATACCATCTCACAACAGTTAGAATGGCGAGCATTAAAAAGTCAAGAAACGAGATGCTAGAGAGGATGTGGAGAAATAGGAACGCTTTTACACTGTCGGTGGGAATATAAATTAGTTCAACCATTGTGGAAGACAGTGTGGTGATTCCTCAAGGATCTAGAACTAGAAATACAATTTGACCCAGCAATCCCATTACTGGGTATATACCCAAAGGATTATAAATCATTCTACTATAAAGATACATGCACATGTATGCTTATTGCGGCACTGTTCGCAATAGCAAAGACTTGGAATCCACCCGAATACCCATCAATGATAGACTGGATCAAGAAAATGTGGCACATATACACCATGGAATACTATGCAGCCATAAAAAGGGGTGAGTTCATGTCCTTTGCAGGAACATGGATGACACTGGAAACCATTATTCTCAGCAAACTAACATGAGAACAGAAAACCAAACACTGCATGTTCTCACTCATAAGTGGGAGTTGAACAATGAGAACACATGGACACAGGGAGGGGAAACATCACACACCAGGGCCTGTCAGGGGGTGGGGGGCTAGGGGAGGGATAGCATTAGGAGAAATACCTAATGTTGATGGGTGCAGAAAACCAACATGATACATGTATACCTATGTAACAAACCTGCATGTTCTGTATATGTTCCCCAGAACTTAAAGTATAATAATAGTAATAATAATAAAAGAAGGCAAAAAAAGTCCACCCAATGCACTAAATAACTTGGGCAAAACCACAGCATATTTTAGCATCTGTCATTACTCTCCTGAGTTCTTTCTATCACACCAAGTAATTATCGGTAAAGTTCTTCATGATATAAGTTAAAAGAGATTAATCATTGTGGGTAAAACATAGTGAACAGTTTAGATTGGCTCATGATAATCACATAGACCACACTTTTAATAGAAATATAAGATAATATAATATATTTAAAAAATGAACACATTCTTCTAAGCTTCAAAGAAGCTATTTTTAATTGGCACTAAAAAGAGGAAATATTTTTCAATTTCTGTATACACTGGCATTTTCATAAAGAATGGATTTGAGGCTTACATAATAAAAAATACCATTAATCACTGGATGACCCTATTTTTTTCTATCAGATGTACAAGAAGTTGAAAATTCTGAGACTATTTTGTGTTATAGATATTTGAGATAATGATTAAGTGAAAGGACAAACAAATGCTGAATATCTTTAATATTCAAATATTTGCTGACTTAGGATATAGAAGTGATTCACAGCAGGAAAACAAGAGAAAAACTGTGTAGCACATGCCTTTATTATTTGACTTTCATATACCTTAATTGTGCAGTAGCATTACTGGTTGACATTAGCAGATGAATGCGCACAAACACACACACATGCATGTGATCTGTCATCGATCTTTCTTTCAAGATGCTCACTTTTTTGTTCTGCCCCTGATTTCACTAGCGTCAACATAAAATTCAACAGAAAGCACAAAACTTAAAAAGGCCATTGGACACACTGCATTCAGATTCCATCGAAGCAGCACCATAGCTTTGTTCTGGAGATGTGGGTGCTCAGTGTATGTTTCAGTACTAGCAATTTGTGAACTGGTTCTGTGCATACAGTTTGGAGTCAACCTGCCCGTTTTGGAATTCTTACTCGCCCACCTACTGTGTGACCTTGGAAGAACACCTTGACCTCACAGGACTTGGTGGAAAGAGCCAGGCTGGGTGTAAAGAGAACCGTAAGTGATCAATGAGCATTTGTTTTAAAAATAGCACTAGGATTTATTAAGCACCTGCTTTGTGCCAGATATCACTTCAGGTGTAAGAATGCAAATCATAATTATAGATTACAGGTTTCAATTGCTTTCTGTGTGCCACTAAGCAAAACTCTTCATCTACACTTTTGGAGTCAGATATGATTTGTAATTCAGAATTCTTAAGATGCTTGTGGAGTATACAACAAGCTAAATGGGTCTGGAGCAGCACCCCATAATGCAATATATTAACTTTTCTGCACTGAAACATTTCAACAGTCACACCAAATGGGATAAAGTCTACAAGCAGCTTCATGTTAGTTCAGGCCAGGTTTTGCCAAATGAGTTTGCTACAAATTTATGAAAAATTTTCCAGTCTCCAGAACATTTTGGATTTGAGTATTGTGAATAAGAGATTGTGTTTCAATTTAACTCACTTCATCATTATATCAAACCCATGAATTTGGTGCTATCATTACTGTTACTTAAGTTCAAGGAAACTGAAGCAGAGTGAGAACAAGTAACTCGTCCAATTTTACCCAGCATAGAAGAAGCAAAGGCAATCTGGCTTCAGAATAACTGTCTGAACTAAATGATGTCAATAATAAGTAAGATAAACTAGGAGAAGCACAGGAAACTCAGAGTTCATTTGGATGAAACAGACAGCTAACAGGTACAGCCTAGAGTGGGAAGAGCAGGTGCTGGGGTGTCCAGGGTACTGTGGGAACTAAACAGAGGTGCAGAGGACCCCCAGGGATGGTGGGGAGGTGGTTCACAGCACAGAACAATTCAGACTACCATGTCTCTGAAATAAGTTGAAATCTAAAATTTAACTTAAAATCTGCCATTTCTTGTGATATTAGGTTTAGTGTCCACATCTTGACTTCTAAAAAGATACTCTATTTGTTTAAAACAAAACCTGGAATTCCATTGCTAAGGAAAGCAAGCCAGAAAACCCAAGGCTTTTGAGGGCAGCCAAGTTAAATATTGTATCTCTTTTTAAGAAGTTAATCCCCCTGGGTCTTCGACCTTTGTTCTTTGCTCCCAAAGGCAGCGACATATGATGTCTATCTTGCCAAAAATAGTTAAAAGTCATCTAGGAGCTCTCTGCTGAGTGGGCCAACCCGCGGTGACCTTTTTGACTAGACCAACTCCTGTTACGTTAACCTCTGACTTCAGTCCTCTTAATGGCAATATTCCCCAGCACTGTAATTTCCCTCCCACTGTGTTCTCTCAGGCAAATATTTACTACTGAGGTTTCACAATTTATTTTTCAAACAAAGTGGCAGGGACCACCCCACGCCACCACATCCTCATTTCGTATTAGAACCCATCATTCCCGAGATATAATTTTACCAGAACAAATGTGCTTTAGGGACTTTTGACATGAGATGAAGGCTTGACTTCCTATCAAAACCAAACCAGGCCCTTGTCAGCTTTTAGGTGGATATAAACAAGAAATGCAAGCCTGTAATTGGTGATGGAAATCAGATAAGACCTCTTTAAATGCAACCATTGATACAAAAATGTGAACTCGAATTACCTTTGATTAAGTCACTTAAGAAAATAAAGCTGGGGTGGGTTTAAAAGAAAGATTCTGAACATGCTTGTGAACAAGATCTTGTAGTTTTTCAGCATCTCGGAGGCAAGCTGAAGAAAATTAAAGTCAGAACCGAAGGCTTATGAAAGGAAACAGAACTCAGAATAGAGCTCCCCTCGACCCCTACCATTTCTAAAGTACCAACAATGACAAAGATCCAGCAATTATTCGTTCTCAAGCTGCAGCGTGTCACTCTGTGCAATAGAAATCTAAATATCGAAGTAGTCGATGTTTGATATTTAACTTCTTATTGAGCTGTGAGAAATTCAGCCCAACCAGTGACAAACAACCCTCTACTTAACCACTTGACATTAATTTTCCAATAATAATTTTTATCCCTGAGTTATTGTACAGAGAGACCGCCTTTTCTAATGCTGGCGTTCTCCATCCTTGGACATTTTATACTCTTTTCAAGAAAAAATAACATGCAAAAGAGTGAAGCTCCCCCTGCCCTGTTTTTATATTATTTTCATTAAGCTTCACGACAATATTATTCTCAAGTCCTTAAAATTATTTTCCAATTTATTTGTGTGCCAGAAGTTATAATTAAATTTTATGTATTTTATTCAGTAAAAAAAGTTCTAAGTTATTTTCAGATCTCAAATAGAACTTTGTAGCATTCTTTTGATAATTATCTAAAATGCTTTTGGCAGATGGAGGATACAAATGTAAATAAAATCTTCTTTCACATCATTAGATTTTATCAGTTAACAGATATGTAGGCAAATATAAGAAGAAAACAAATATACTATATGAAAAAATGTTTTAAGTTCTTTGGATTTTTTTAGCACTTGAATATTGTTTTCCTGTCATTATATTATAGAAGCCAAATCCTATTATCGTGTTTGGGCTCTAGCTTAGAAAAAAATGGGAATATTCTACAATACACATGTAACATTTCGAAGTCGGCTTCTGGCTTCAGAGACAATACCACAGAGAAATATTACATATTTAAAAAGAAAGGAAATGACAGTATCTTTTAACAGATGGCAATCTAATTGTTAAGTGAAAACTTTGCTGCTATGTGTTATATTAATGTATTACTTTAGAAATAGTAAATGCTCCATGACTTACCCTCCACTGTTGTTAACCCCTACTAATACCCTACATTATCAAATATTCATTTTCATAATATTGTTAGAAAGTTATTTTATTTTACACCTCAACACACACACACACACACACACACACACATCATATTCATGGGTAACTTTCTAACAGAATAAAATTACATTTCCACAAAGCAATGACGTGAGGACAGTTTTCGGCGGTAGCGCACAATATATCACATTAGAAAATCCTCCGAATCACACACAAAAAAGCATTACACAGATTCTTTTTTTTTTTTGCACAACTGTGAGTACTAGTATTTGTATTGAAAATAAAATAATAAAATTAAATTATCTAAATAACTAAGGACATTTATTTATAAATATTTTCATATTTACCATGGAGAGGTTTTATTTTTTCCATCTCGTCTCTCTTTGTGTCTTTGACTTATTTTTTTCTTTTTAATCAGAGGCATTATTAAGCCATTCTATACAGCCTTCCACTTTTCTTGGGGCTGCTGTTGATACCCCTGAAGAAGTATCAGGAGAAATGCTAGGAAGGAGAAACATCGAATTTGTATTTATTTCTTGGAGACATGGTGGTGCTAAGGAAGCAGTAACTCTGCCTGATGGTTACTCATATTCCACTGGTTCACACTTTCTGTGCTAAGGGGATGGAAAAGGGGAATGGAGAGCTATGGTAGGGCTGCCTGTTTGCCACATTTTCCCTAAAGACAGGGTAAGTTATGAACATGCAAAGGCTATCCCTTCCCTAGGATAGAGTTAAAGTAAGAGATTGGGAAAAATGCTGGTGTTATGTTAAAAAAATTTAAAACGTGTACATCTCTCATCAAAATGTATTACTATGTGTTTATTTGTTCAAATGGTAAATACATAAGCCCTCAGATTTAAATATTAAAACTCTAATTTGGGGGAAAATTTTTAATAAAAATAGATTTAATATTTTTAACAAAAGAACGCTGGTTGTATTCCCAATGACAACAATAATGACTCTTATCTGGAATATAATCAATATCATGTTCTACTTTATTACATTTACATCTCTGCAAATCTATTCTGCATATACACATATAAAATCTCTAGGAATTGTAATATTTCCAAACTATACAGTCAAGGAAATCAAGTTTCCTTTTAGTTATTTTTTCTGTAAAGAATCATTTACAATAAGAAGTTACCTTTGGAACACTCTATAGAAATATGACTACATGCACAAGTAAACCCCAATTGGTCCCTTTGTGCAGATAAAACTAAGATTCCTTTTATTCTCTTTCCCCAAATTGTTGTTGAATTTGTGCTCAAGGACTGATTGTGGGAAAAGTTGCATTCTCTGTCATAAAAATAAAAAGAAAATATAATAAAACAGTAATTGGTCAATGACAATTGAGGCAACAACTTTACTGTGCCAGTCAAACATGCATCATAACTGATCTTTGTACTCTGCTCAAGGTGCAGTGCTTTTCATAAAACAAATCCTACCTTATAAAGTTATTATTTTACACCAGGCCTTTCATCCTCTGGTACACAAGGCTATAAGTTACATGGCTATTAAAGTGGCTCTTTTGTTCTATAGTACTGCCATCAATAAAAGGACACTGGTAGTAAAGGTGAAAATAGATAATCTCAGAAATAAAAAATGAGATGTTAATTTTATTGTTTTCAATACTGAGAATATGAAAACATGCACATGATTAGTAAGAAATGGGTCACAGTAGGAGGAAAGGCAAGACTGACTTGCTGGTAATTACGCATTTAAACTTAGCCAACTCAGATAAAGCTAGTTATTTGAGACATCATCCAAAAATTTGGCCACTGAGTTCACCTCTCCAGTTACTCTTCCTGCAAGTTTTCAAAGATTATTATTTAGGAATTATTAGATCTCTCATAACACCACGCTCTGAAGGAAAGAGAGCTTAAGCTACCACCACAGCAATCACTGGCCTAGTTTCTTACCAGGTATCGCTATAAATTTTTAAATATTACTTGAGTAACTTTATTAGCTTTCTGCTTGAGAAACAACAGAATACACTTTCATTAAAGGATAGGACAAAAAATAAAAATTTTATAACGGGAAGCTGTTAATCTCAAAATCTTCTTTTTGGGCCACCACGACCTTAACAGACACAGTAAATGTCTCAGAAAACATGTAACTGGTTCACCTTTGAGAAATGACCACAGAAGAAAAGTGTCTAATAATTAAATTTTCAATAATTTTTAGAATGGCAAGTTTTGAAAATAAATTAATCTCAGGAAGAAGCATACCATGAGTTAACTGTTGTATTCTCTTAAATTTACAGAGTTGTTTTACACCTAAGTATAAATAAAATCTTATTTAATGAATACTGCTAAATAATAACATTTTAATTCTCATTGCCCAGTTCATTTTATGCACTTTTTAAGAAATCCATTTGTTTTCAATTTGATGCTTCTGTGCACTTACTCAGCAAACATGTATTGATATGCACTATGTGAATAAAGTAGTGTTTAAGGGGGCAAGTTCTATAGTTGGACTGACTGGGTTTAAATGATGGCTCTGCTGCTTACTACCTGTGAGTCCTGATGCAATTTATTTAACACCTCTGTGCTTTATTTTGGTGGTATTAGTACTTACTCCATAGGTTTGGCATAAAGTGTTAAATGAGATAACATGTAAAGCACATAACACAGCACGAGGCACATAGATAGGCAGCACTCAATAACAGTAGTATTTACCATCAAGACTGAGGTCGATAACAATGTTGATGAGGGTGACTATGTGTCAGGCATTGTAACAAGTTCATTGGAAGCTATAAAGGAGAAAGTTGTTTAATTTCAAAACACTCAAAGATATATAAATTCTGTTGCAATCATGAGTCAACTGATAAAGCAGTTGACCCCTGCTGATTGCTTAAGGGTTTGTTCCTGAGGGCCTTCTGTGCATGAGGAAGCCTAAGCAAAGGTGAGCTGCAAGGAGCTTTAAAGCACATTCCCATTTATGTCTGAGAATTGTAATCTCGGCAGCAATGTAGAGCATGTACTGAAGGGGAAAGAAAGAGGAAGCTATTAATAGTAGAATATTGGAAACCTATTAAACCATCTAAGAGAGAGGTAGTGGGGATCTGGTACACACAGAAGACATTAGAAAATAAGACCGACAGGAAGTGTACCACCTGGATCTGAAGAGTGATTTAAGGTAATTCCTAGATTTCTAGCTGGTTATATGACATTGCTCTTCAGTTAAATAGAAGAAACACAGGTATAAGGGCAAAATGTGAATTTCATTCTGCACATAGGGGTAGACATCCAATGGGAAGTGAAAAAAAAACAGGAAGTAGGAAAGACAGAGAGAGAGGGAGAGAGAGAAACCCTAAGTACTGGATGATATGTCCTTCACACACATTATCTCATTTAACATCACAATAATCCTGTATAGTCAGCATTAATATCACCATTTTCAGATGATAAAATCCAAGGTATCTGTGACTCCAAGCTGTGGTCCCAACCATGATGTTATTATTTGGTTCTGCAATAAATTTGAAACAGCTGGAAAAGTGAGTCTGACACACAGAAAAGAACTTAGTTCTAGCAATATAAATTTCCAAGTAAATGTGTAAGATTACCCAAAAATGTGGTGGAAAAAAGAGAAAAATAACTAGAAGTGGAAGCTTGAGGAACAATAGCACTTGGCAGATGAATAAAACAATAGTTGCTGATAGAAAGAGGGAGAAATGGTCAGAGAGGTAGAAGAGCAAGGGAGTGGTGTTTGGGTAGCCAAAAGGGGAGAGGAAGAGAAGATGTGGCTCAGGGGAGCAAGAGCAATTGAGATGCAGAAAAGAAAACATGCAGGAGGAAGTAGAAGTGAAACCAGGTTATATGCTATAACCTAAAGGTTATATGCTATATTCTAAAGGAATAGAAGAGGTTGAAATGGGATGCATGAATGTAGAGTACTCTTTGACAAAGTTTGGCATGAGGAGATAGAGGAAATATGAGAGGTTTTGAGAGGTCACTGGGTATAGCACAGAAAAAAAAAAAAAAAAAAGAAAAAAAAGATGAATTGACTTTCTTCATGCCAGACGCTGGCAGGGGAAGGATGGGGTCTGGCTGTTACACTGGGGTAAGGTTGGTCTGTGTGTCGAGAGGTGGTGTGGTGGGTAATGACTGCCACCTTAGAACAAGGGAAATTTTTTTTGAGTAAAAAGAGAACATTAGAGCTATGTTTTAGAATTCTTAATTCTTTCAAATTTTTAGAATTTAAAAATGTTTTGAGAAAAATGTGAGTAAAAATTAAGTCATTAAGAACACTTAAATCTCTCACTTGAAATAATCTTTGAAACAAGAAAGCATATCAAATTGTAATTATAGAATATTAAGAAAACAATTCTGTCAATAACACTGTGCATTAGGTTGATCCATATGAAATTATCATTTTTGTTATCTCAAAACTGTCAACTATTGCCAATTTTATTGGTTCAACCTAACATAGCAATGTGTAAGATTTTTTACAAGTTATACTCAGGGAAAATTTCTTAGTTTTAAATACTTTTATCGTTAAATAAGAAAGAATAAAAATTAAACTGAAAAAGCTAAAAAGATATCAAAATTAACCCTAAGTATGAGGACAAAAACCAGAATATTAATAAATAAACTTTGAAAAAATAGAAAAGGTAGAGTTTGTTAATAAAGCTAATAACTAGTTCTCTGTCTATAAAATAGACAAACCTCTGACAAGACCAATATAGGAAAAAAAGAGAAAAAAGTCAAATACATATAGTTTGGGAGTTAGGAGGATGATTTCTGAAGTTAGCCTGGGATTGAAAGGAATACAGTCATAGTGATTTATGTGAGTTTCAGCAAGGCTATCTCAACATTGAAGGATCTGCTATTATCTTTATATGTTACTCCATCAAAGGAGAAAAATGTAACCATTGTAATAAATGCCTTGGTTTTCTCATTCAAAGACAGGAAATTGATAGCATCTAGCTCTTAGTGCCGTGGTAAAGATTGAAGAATATAATGTGTACACAGCATGACACGGTGCCTGGAAAATAGTATTATTACTCTTATAATTGTAATATTTTGTTATTATTATTATAGAGAAGTAGGAAGATCTGATTAGAAATACAAAGACTTAAAAACTAACTGCTTTCTACATGAAGCTCTATTAATTTTTAAATCTCAATGAGTAAATAATTTTAATAAATTAAAATTGCCAAAGTAATAAAAAAGTAGTCATTATAGAATAAATTTCTAAGCTTATCCATAATCATCAAAAATTTGTCAAGCCAAGATGGTTTCACCAGCAAATTATTTGAAATCTTCAGGAGACAGACACTCATGGAACAATTAAACCCTGTTCTAATTGAACTGTTTTAGAATGTAAATAAAGAATAAAATCTTCAAAATTTATTTTTCAAATTTAGCCTAATTCTTACCTGAAGTCTAAAAATGACAGCATAAAAATGAAAACTATGAACCAATTTCACTTATAATAAATATAAAACTCCTAAACGAAAGTATAAGAATACTAGAAGGATTTTTTTCTAGGATTTAAAAGATGCATTGATATAAATTACACATAGAAGAAGAAAAACAAAACAAAACACACCTTTGTGGCCATATTAGCAACAGCATACCCATTTTACAAATATTTCTGTCCACTTCCTGCTTTTCCGTGGTTATTAAAATATTTCTCTATAGCTATATGGAAGCAGTCTATTGCCATTTCCTTTCTCACCCCTTTGGCTTTCTTTACCCTAGAGCTCTTTTTATCAGTGCCATGCATTTAAAATCTTTCAGTTCAGTGAAGATTAAAGGCAGAATCATAGTCAAGCCAAATGGTCTTTCCCCACAAAGGCTATGGGGCCCCAGGGCAAATCATCCCTGGTTCAATGCTTTCTATTCTTAACATTGCTGCTATAAGTGGTAAGTGAAAGCAAGTTAAAATAAAAAAAGGCAGGTGGGAGGGCAGGTGTATCAGTTTGAGTCTCCGCAGGATGCAAATGACACTAGCACACTGGATAATTTGAAGAGACTTTAACAAAGGGATTTCACATGGTGTAAACAAGTTACAATTGCATGAACAAGTTCATGAAAATGAAGAAGGAATAACAAGCCCCTGAACTTGAAGAGGTAAGAAAGGGAGTTGGATACATACTGGGTTGAATAGTGTCCCATCTCCCAAATTGATGTCCACCTGGAACCTGTGAATGTGACTTTATTTGGAAATAGGGTCTTTGCAGATATAATCAAGTTCAGATGAGATCATAATGCATTAAGGTGGACCCTAATACAATGACTGGTGTCTTTATACGAGAAGAGGGAAATTTGGACACAGATACAGGAGAGAAGGCAGAGATGAGTGATCCAACTACAAGCCAAGGAATGTCAAGGATTTGCCAGAGCCACCAGACAGTAGAACAGGCAAGAAAGAACTCTACCCAGAGTCTCAGAGAGAACATAACTCTGCTGACACCTTGATTTTGGACTTCCGGCCTCCAGAATTGTGAGAGAATAAATTTCTGTTGTCTTAAGTCACCCAGATTGTGGTATTTTGTTATGTCAGCCCTAGTAAAACTAATACAGATACCAAAGACATGGTGGAGGACAAACAGAACCTGTCCAGCGTGGCAGAGGAGTAGTGACAATGAGATGTATGCAGTGTGGGTCTAGCGTCTTCTTCAGTGTTTAGTGAGCCATCTGTCTCTCTTCTATTGACTGCCTCTTAGAAATGCTGTCCATTCAAAGCATGGCAACTCAGGCCTTCACCTTTCTGTGATATTGCTGTACCTTGACCATTGTTTTACTATTTGGACAACAGCTAGAATGGGGTGAGGGGATGGGGGGTGATATATCAGTCTGGACGATGCTCATACCTCTTCAAAAAAAGACAGAGGTGCTTTAGAATACAGCTGATATGCTGGCATGCACAAGGCAAACAAACAAATAAGCAAAAGATGCTGTATGATGAATGAAGGGAGAAAGTACAATATGGCACTGCCCATTGAGAGAATAGGAAACTCAAGCATAGTACCCAGAGCCTGAAATAGAGAGATGCCCAGCTAATTTGTGTTCAGTGCATTCATGGGTGGCTGGATGTATGAACAGATGGATGAATGAATGAAGCGCTTATATAAACACAAGAACT